>NC_000014.9:73551106-73702622 GCF_000001405.40 Homo sapiens
TGAGCTGAGATCGTGCCATTGCACTCCAGCCTGAGTGACAGTGTGAGACTCCGTCTCAAAAAAAAAAAAAAGAATGCAGTTTCCACCTCCTGAAAATTTAATCCCCTTTACCCCAACTAGTCAATGAGCCCAATTTTCTAGCCCTTTACCCTCCATGATCCCTTTAAAAACCCTGTTACAGGTAGTTAGACATGAGCAGGGAAGGAGAGGGCTTTTCTCCCTCACCCACTAGGAATGTCAGGTGGTGGTTGACAGTTATCACGTTGCCTCTCTAAACTGAAAATTCGCAGTTGGTGCCAGAGGGCCAGAGTGAGACAAGCTCCTGATGATCCACAGGTGTTAACATTAAAGTGTTAATTGAATGCAGGTGCCAGGGAGAAGCAACTTCCTGGGCACGTGCATTAAGAGACAAAATGGCAGGCCAGGCGCGGTGGCTCACGCCTGTAATCCCAACACTTTGGGAGGCTGAGGTGGATGGGTCACCTGAGGTCAGGAGTTCGAGACCAGCCTGACCAACATGGTGAAACACCGTCTCTACTAAAAATACACAAATTAGCCGGGTGTGGTGGTGCGCACCTGTAGTCCCAGCTACTCAGGAGGCTGAGGCAGGAGAATCGCTTGAACCCCAGGAGGCCGAGGTTGCAGTGAGCTGAGACCACGCCATTACACTCCAGCCTGGGCAACAAGAGTAAATCTCCGTCTTAAAAAAAAAAAAAAAACAGACAAAATGGCTATGTATGACCTCTCCAGGACACTCCACTGGAAAAGGGAAGAAAGCCTCAGATGGGCACGTATACAACTTCCTACACACACTGTGCATGCTCACTTCCGAAAGGTAAAGAGAGCACAGAGCATGAGGGCAGCTCACCCTCAGAGAAGAATCATGAGAAAGAGGCGAGCCTATAAAGTCCTAGGATCACAGTTAAACAGGGCTCTTGACCTTCAGGTGCCCGGTCAGGTCTCTTCCAAGTGAACTTTCCTTTCTTTCATGTCCTAAAGACTTTTTAAATAAACTTCCACTCTGCTCTGAACTCACCTCCGTCTCTTTTTCTGCCTTATGCCCCTCAGTCAAATTCTTTCTTCTGAGGAGGCAAGAACTGAAGTTGCTGTAGACCTGTACAGATTCGCCACCAGTAACTCAGACACCTTCCACTGGTAACAACCCCAGCCCAGAATTCTTCAAGGAGATGGATTTGAGGGTCTCCTCCCATCTCCTTGCTAGGTGCCCTGTGATCATGAAGCTCTTTCTGTGCTGCAAACCCTGCTGTCTCAGTGTAATTGGTCTGTAACAGCAGAGTGGGCATTCTGCAGCCTCTTCCTTGCCCGGGGCCTGTTGGGAGCCCCCAGCACTGCCTGTACCATCATAAACCCACCCTGGCCCCTTTCCCAGGCTCCAAGCTCAGAGGAGGCAGAGGCTTCATTCTAAACTACAGCATCCCCTCCCTAATCCTCATTTGCCTTCTCCTTCTGAGCTTGGGCCCCATTTTTTGAGACCCTACCAGCCCCCATTCCCACAATCCCCTGTGCCGACACAAATCAACCTCCCCATGTCCCAACCACTGTCAACCCCAACTTAGACCAGTGCATCCCACAGCTATTCTAGCACCCCATAAACACTCCAGTGTCCCCCACTTCCTGATCCCACAACACCTTGGGCCCTCCAGATAACCCGCTGCTCCAGCCTGGCAGTTTGTCAACCCCCTCACCCAGACCCCCAACACCTCATGCCTGTCTTATGCCATGAGTCTGAGGCCCCTGACCCCTACACCTCTTGGGTGCCACCCAGGCCTGTCTGTGTGGGCAGCTCCCCCACCAGCTCCCTTCCATCCCCCATGGGTCCTATCCAGGGTTTCCCCGACCCAAGCACACACTATTCGGCATTCCTGACTCCCACTGTTCCTGGCTCACGGCCTGGCCACCTTGTCTCGCTCATCTGCCATAGCCCCTGCCTGGCCCAGCAGGACAGGCCTAGGTCAGGGCAAGGACAGGTCAGCACCAGGGCTGGTGCCCCACCCCGAAGGACACAAGCCTCCTGCTCAGGACACTTTCTGGGGTCCTGTGCCTCCCCTTCTTCTCCCCCAGGTGCCAAGTCCCCACTTTTTAATACTATCGCATTGAGGCTGGGCATGGTGGCTCACACCTGTAATCCCAGCACTTTGGGAGGCTGAGGTGGGCGGATTACCTGGGCTCAGGAGTTCAAGACCAGCCTGGGCAACATGGTGAGACCCCATCTCTACTAAAAATCCAAAAAATAATTAGCTGGGCTTGGTAGCACTCGCCTGTAATCCCAGCTACGGGGGAGGCTGAGGCAGGAGAATCACTTGGAACCCAGAAGGTAGAGGTCCAGTGAGCCGGGATCGCGCCACTGCACTCCAGCCTAGGCAACTGAACAGGACTAGATCTCCAAAAAAAATTAAAATAAAAAAGTATTATCACATTGGGTATTAGGTTTGTTAAATAAAAATTATTGCTGTGGAGGATACACTTGAAGGGAATGAAAAAAAGTATAGGAGACTATTGTTTTGCTTTTTTTTTGTTTTGTTTTTGAGATAGAGTCTTGCTCTGTCCCCCAGGCTGGAGTGCAGCAGCGCAATCTTGGCACACTGCAACCTCTGCCTCCCAGGTTCAAGCAATTCTTGTGCCTCAGCCTCCCTAGTAGCTGGGATTACAGGCATGCACTAGCATGCCCCGCTAAGGCCATTGTTTTGGACTAGGCTCTAGCACTAGGCCCCAATAGACAAGACTAAAAACCAAAATGGCGTCACCTGTGCTAAAGTTTCACCCAACCTAAACTGAAGTGTTACCTGGCCTTCTGAGAAATCAGGAGAGAAATAACAGCCAATTTCCCAAACATGCCAGTTTTGATCTTTAATTATCATGACAATGAGGTTCCCCTCTGCTTTAATCTGTACACAAAAGAATTAGCCAGCTGGGCATGGTGGCTTACTCATGTAATCACGGCACTTCGGGAGCCCAAGGCAGGCAGATCACTAGAGACCAGGAGTTGGAGACCAGCCTGCCCAACATGGTAAAACCCTGTTTCTATGAAAAATAAAAAAAATTAGCAGGCATGGTGGTGGGGGCCTGTAATCCCAGCTACTCAGGAGACAGAGGCAGGAGAAGCGCTTGAACCAGAGAGGCAGTGGTTGCAGTGAGCCGAGATATTGGATTAGGCAGTCAAAAAAACCAAGCAAGCATAAAAGGTCAATAAGTTGTAATCTTGATAGTAAAAGTGGAAAACTTATTATAAATGGAAAGAAAGTTTTGATTTCCTTTTTTGTTTGATGGGCAGTATGCCATATTATACCCAAAGTTCGTTTAAAAAATATTTCCATCAACTATTTTTATTTGAAATAAATATTTGAGGTAAGTTACCAAGGCAGCTTTTTTCCTCAAAAGTAACCTGTTCCTCTTTGGAATAGCACATTTTAGGGGCATGGTTAATACCTGAGATTTTTACTCAGTAAATCCTGATGGTTACTATGTGTAAAATATCTTTAAGTAGGATTGAAGGCCTCTGTGGGGAATAAAATATTACCAAAGTCTATAAAAATAAATTTTACATGTTCTCCTTTATGACAGAGAGCAGCACTGGTTCTGCTACTTTTAAAATGAATAATTGATTTCTTGATAGGTGTTTGATATTTCTTCCCTCACTGCTGATTCTTAGATAGAAACCATTCTTTATATTTGATAGACTGTTTTCAGAAAACCCTTATCAACAAGTGTACAATACTTATCTGAAACTATACGTTTAGAATGGAGCAGTTTAATACTAGATCTCAGAAATTTGAAAAATAGCAAAGAAGACTGGATTTGGAAAGCATGGTCTACAATTGCTTGTCAAATTCTGAAGCTATGAAGAATAAATGTTTCAACTTTGGATTATGAAACCCCATTTATGATTTTTTAAATAAACTTGAAATAAAAATGATTAAACTAAAAAAAAAGAATGTAGAGGGAGAGATCAATGTAAAAATTTATTTAAAGAAATAGTAACAGAGAACTTTCTAAAACTAGAGAAAGATATGAATATACAGGTATAAGAAGGTCATAAAACACCAAGCCAACTCAGCCTCAATAAGACTACCTCAAGGCATATAATAATCAAACTCTCAAAGGTCAAGGCTAAAAAAGGATCCTAAAAGCAGCAAGAGAAAAGAAGGACATATTAATAACATCATAAAGGAGCTCCAATATGGCTGGTAGCAGACTTCTCAGCAGAAACTTTACAAGCAGAGAGTGGGGTGACAAAGTGCTGAAGCAAAAAAACTTCCAATCTAGAATATTATATTCAGCAAAAACAGCCTTCAAACATGAAAGAGAAATAAGGATATTCTTAGTTAAAAAAAAAAAAGTGAGAGATTTTGACATCAGACCTGTCTTATAAGATTCTTGTTAAGAGGAGTTCCTCACTGGTTGAGTATGAATGGTCAAATGAAAAGAACATTAATATTCTCCTGCCTTGCATATTCTTCTAAAACATTTTACATTCCTAACACATCAGTGTGTCCACATCTTGCTTCTAAGGCAGGGGGCAATTTGATCCTAAACAGTTGAAAAATGGGATGAGGACTCATTTCATCCCCAGATGACTACCTATAAGGAGTGATTGGCTAGGTGGGTGGCTCACGCCTGTAATCCCAGCACTTTGGGAGGCTGAGGCGGGTGGATCACCCAAGGTCAGGAGTTCGAGACCAGCCAGCCTGATCAACATGGAGAAACCCCATCTCTACTAAAAATACAAAATTAGCCAGGCATGGTGGCACACACCTGTAATCCCAGCTACTTGGGAGGCTGAGGCAGGAGAGTTGCTTGAACCTGACAAGCAGAGGTTGCAGCGAGCCGAGATCGTGCCACCGCACTCCAGCCTGGATAACAAGAGCAAAACTCTATCTCAAAAAAAAAGGAGTGATTTAGGGTGTCCGCAGATAAATGCCCTTTAGCCTTTGACATAAAGAATCTTTAGTTACAATGCAAACATCCCAGAAAGAATACCATATTACCATTATCAATTATTAGAAATTCTTAAGGAGGCTGGGTGCGGTGGCTCACGCCTGTAATCCCAACACTTTGGGAGGCTGAGGCAGGCAGATCACCAGAGGTCAGCAGTTCAAGAGCAGCATGGCCAACATGGCGAAACCCCATCTCTACTAAAAATACAAAAAATTAGCCAGGCATGGTGGCAGGCACCCGTAATCCCAGCTACTCAGGAGGCTGAGGCAGGAGAATCGCTTGAACCCAGGAGGCGGAGGTTGCAGTGAGCCAAGATCACACCAGTGCACTCCAGGCTGGGTGACAAGAGTGAAACTTCTTCTCAAAAAAAAAAAACAAAAAAAACTTAAGGAATAGTTATTATCATCCGATATGATGGCTTATTAAGAAGGAAGGGAACACATGATAGGTCTGTTTTGAAAAGGAATGGGGACAGAACAAAATGTTACACAAGGTCTGATCAAAAGAGGCTTGTTCTGGCTTGTCTTTGTCTGTCTTGGAGTCACGGGACAGGTGTAAGGCCAAATTGTGCACTTCCCAGTCATGTTACCTTGGGCAAATAATTTGAAATCTGTAGTTTCCCAATCTGAAAATTGAGTCTGATACCTGTTCTAATTTAGTGTTGATTGATATGAACCTCAAAATTAGAAACGTATGAAAGTTCTTTGCAAACTAAAATATATGTGTGAGGAATTGTTATTATTAGTTTAGAGGATGGACTGTTGTCCTTAGAAGGCAAGTCTCTGGGTCCTACAGTTAGATGCACTGGGCGCTTCGGGAAGAATTTAGGGCTATGGGGTACTCAGCAATTAAAAGAGAGGGTGCTTAGAGAAGAAAGAAAGGACTTATTAATGGAGTTTGGAGGCTCCTTATTATCGAAACTTACACATTACGTGACCAGCATTATGAGGCAGCACCCCACTCCCAACAAATAGCCCTCTAGAACCAAAAGCAGAGTGGCAGGTCCGGGGTCCTTTTGTACATAGACAGCATAAAAAATTGACTAAGTCAATCCTGGCATAACTGCAGACCAGGCCCTGGAATGAGCAACCCACCAGCATTATCTGCATTTCTAGGAACTTGGGCTAGAAGGGGAGGAATGGGGTTGGAAGGGTTAGGCCACATGCCTCTAGTTAAAACCTGATGAACTTCCTAGATCCCCAGCTGGAAAACGTAGGAGTTGGACTAAATTCCTCTCCTGCCTCTAATATTTTATGAATACAGAACTCAACTCAAACTGGGTAGTATCTCAGAGATTCCAAATTTAGTTCCACTTTTCTGTTTGCTTATCAGTCGCTTACCCTCACCCTCTGGTCTGATACCTTTATCCTGTACAAGTGGTCAAAGTAGGTTGAGTAACATGTGCTAAAAGGAGTAATATCTTGCATTCTCCCTTGTTATTAAAATAGAGGAAACTGCCTTGAAAGAAAAGACTAAAAAGCAATAAGCCTTAGTATCAGTATCTTCTGAAAGCTTTAAAAAAATAATACTCTCATCTCTACCAACAGATTTGGATTCTGAAGTTCTGAGGTGGAGTCCAAGAGTGTGCAGTCAGCTTCTGGGGTGGTGTTTGTTAGATACAGTTTTTTGTTTATTTATTTATGTTTGAGACAGGGCCTCACTCTGTCACCCAAGCTGGAGTGCGGTGGCACAGTCATGGCTCACTGCAGCCTTGCCTCCCAGGCTCAAGCAATCCTCCTGCCTCAGCGTCCCCAGTAGCTGGGACCACAGGTGTGCACCACCATGCCTGGCTAATGTTTTAAAACTTTTTTTTGTAGAGACAGGGTCTTACTATGTTGTCCAGGCTGGTTTCAAACTCCTGGAATCAAGTGATCTTCCTGCCTTGGCCTCCAGAAATGCTGGGACTATGCCTGGAATAGATATGGGTAAAGAACCTTTTACATCAGACTCTTGTGTCCTACTCCCAGAATGCTGATTCAGTAGCCTGCAAGTGAGGCCTAGAAATCTGCATTTTCACAAGCTCTCAGGTTTAATACACAATACATTTAAAGAAAGCACAGCCCAAAGGGTGTCAGTGGGGTGTATGAAGGAAGCCTGGTTAGTGGGGAGAGTGGGATTAGGGAACAGCTGCTTAACCTGGCTTGTTTCAAGTCCCCCTTTCTCCCTTTTTGCCCTCAAAAAGTTCCCCTCATTTTTTCCCCTCTACTTTCTAATTTTTTACCATGCACTCACACAGCTATACAGCTATCTCCAGAGATTACTCTGGAAACTCTGCTATAAAGATGACCTGGTCTAATGCCTTGATTTGTTTTTTTTTTTTTGAGACAGGGTCTCACTCTCCTGGAGTACAGTGGCGTGATCATGACTCACTGCAGCCTTGACCTCCTGGGCTCAAGCAATCCTCCCACATAGCTGGGAGCATAGGCACATAGCACACCACTCTCGGTTAAATTTTTTTTTTTTTTTTTTTTTTTGTAGAGATAGAGTCTCACTATGTTGCTCAGGCTGGTCTTGAACTCCTGGACTCAAACAGTCCTCCCACCTTGGCCTCCCAAAATGCTGGGAATACAGGCATGAGCCACTGCACCAGGCCTAATGTCCTGATTTTATAAATCCCAAAACTGGGGCCCAGAGAGAAGAGAAATCATTAAGATCACCATACTGCTTGGTATCTAAAGTAGTACTGACCCTTTTGACACCTAATCCAAAGTTTTTTCAGCTACCTCAGGTTGCCCCTCATCTTCCAGCTGACACCATCCAGCACCTTTCAGATACTGGCAAAGGAGCAGTGTTTCAAAATTACTTTCCAAATGGCCTCCTAAAAGGCAGTCCTCAGAGAGAAGCAAGGTTCTGCATCTTAAGCCTTCCTTGGTTTCTTAGGTTCCAAAGCTGTTTCTATCAGTCTCCAAGCAACCAACTCTTTAGAATTCCATGAGTCTACTCAGAGAACTTGTGGGTTCAGTCGGGGGTATATCTTCAACCATTTATTAAATTTCCTTCTTTGTAAACTGAGCTTTGAGAAATTGCATCTTATTTATTGATTATTTATTGAATGGTAGTTTCATGGAGTTTTTGGTCTTTTTTCTTTTTTGAGACAGTCTCACTCAGTTGCCTAGGCTGGAGTGCAGTGGTGCGATCTCGGCTCACTGCAACCTGTGCCTCCCAGGTTCAAGCAATTCTCCTGTCTCAGCCTCCCATTACAGGCCACACCACCATGCCCCACTAATTGTACTTTTAGTAGAGATGGGGTTTCACCATGTTGGACAGGCTGTTCTCAAACTCCTGACCTCAAGTGATGTGTCCGCCTTGGCCTCCCAAAGTGCTGGGATTTGCAACTGTGAGCCACCACACCTAGCCTCTTGGTCATTCTTTGAAAAATAAACCTCAGCCAGGCGCGATGGCTCACGCCTGCAATTTCAGCGCTTTGGGAGGCTGAGGTGGCGGATCACCTGAGGTCAGGAGTTAGAGACCAGCCTGACCAACATGGTGAAACCCCATCTCTACTAAAAATAGAAAATTTAAAAAGAAAATCACCTGGGCCTGGTGGCGCATGCCTGTAATCCCAGCTACTCGGGAGGCTGAGGCAGGAGAATCGCTTGGACCCAGGAAGCAGAGGTTGCAGTGAGCCAAGATCAGGCCATTGCACTCCAGCCTGGGCAGCAAGAGTGAAGTGCAGTCTCAAAAGATAAAAATAAAAAAACCCTCTAGATATATGCAGCTCCATATTCTCCCACCACAAGGGTTTATAAATCCTGAGAAAGAGGCAAAGCAGGGAACACATGACCACATAGTTCTGGCAGGCGTCAGATTACCAGGCTGATAAAACAGATGGTAAAGTAGAAGCTGTCCGTCGACTTTTCCATTCCCCTTTCAGCTCCTCCACTGCTACTTAATCTCCTTTGCCCACACAGTTCAATCCCATTTTCCCTGATCTCTAAATCCTGGCTAGATTATTAGCCATTAACACTAGCTTTTACAAGGAGACTCTTCAATCTTGTATTTCTAATAGTATAATTTCACACGTACAGAAATTCTTTAAGTCATAGAAGTCTTACAGATACAGAAATTCTGATCTTCAAGAGTCCCTTTGTGAAACAAACTAATTTATCCTGACAGCAGGAAAGATTTCTGGGCCTAAGGCTCTGTCTCGTTGACCCAGGTCATGCTATTCAGGTGGTCCATCTCTTGGTTCCAAGCAAGACTGCTGCTGCTGACCAACCTGAATATGGACTTTAGCACTTGAGCTCAAGCTGCACTCAGATGGTTAGACCCCCATAAAAAGCAGAGGGTACGTTTTCTGTTATGAAAAGTAAAGACTGAGCCAGGCGCTGTGGCTCACGCCCATAATCCCAGCACTTTGGGAGGCAAGTTGGGCGGATCACGAGGTCAGGAGATTTAAACCATCCTGGGTAACACGGTGAAACCCCATCTCTACTAAAAATACAAAAAAATTAGCCAGGCGTGGTGGCAGGCGCCTGTAGTCCCAGCTACTTGGAGGCTGAGGCAGGAGAATGGCATGAACCCGGGAGGCGGAGCTTGCAGTGAGCCGAGATTGGGCCACTGCACTCCAGCCTGGGCGACAGAGCAAGACTCCATCTCAAAAAAAAAAAAAAAGAAAATTAAATACTAAAAAAATTAAACATTATAACCCTGCTAAGGCAGGAGGATCATTTGAGCCCAGGAGTTTGAGGCTGCAGTGAGCTATGATGGCACTACTGCACCCCAGCCTCAGTGACAGAGGGAGACCCTGTTTCTAATAAATCAAAACCCTGTTGAAGGTTCCTCAAAAAATTAAATATAGAATTACTATGTGATCCAGCAATTCTACTTCTGGGTACATATCCAAAAGAATTGAAAGCAGGGACTTTAACAGATATTTGTATACCCATGTTCATAGCAGCATACTCACAATAGCCAAACGGTGGAAAGAACCCAAATGTCCATCAGTGAATGAATGGATAAACAAAATGTGGAAGATACATACAACAGAATGTTATTCAGCCTTAAAAAGGAATGAAATGGGCTGGGCGTGGTGGCTCAGGCCTGTAATCCCAGCACTTTGGGAGGCCGAGGAGGGTGGATCACCTGAGGTCAAAAGTTCAAGACCAGCCTGGTCAACATGGTGAAACTCCATCTCTACTAAAAATACAAAAATTAGCCAGGCGTAGTGGCAGGCGCCTGTAATCCCAGCTACTCAGGAGACCGAGGCAGGAGAATCTCTTGAACCCAGGAGGCAGAGGTTGCAGTGAGCCAAGATCTCGCCATTGTGGTCCAGCCCGGGCGACAGAGCGAGAGTTTATCTCAAAAAAAAAGAAAGAAAAAAAAAGAAAAAGGAATGAAATGGGCCAGGTGCAGTGGCTCACGCCTATAATCCCAGCACTTTGGGAGCCTGAGGCGGACAGATTACTCAAGGTCAGGAGTTCGAGACCAGCTTGGCCAACACAGTAAACCCCGTCTCTACTAAAAATACAAAAATTAGCTGGGCATGGTGGCACACACCTGTAGTCCCAGCTACTGGGGAGGCTGAGGCAGGAAATCACTTGAACCCAGGAGGTTGCAGTGAGCCAAGCAAGATTGCACCACTCCACCCCAGCCGGGCAACAAGAGTGAAACTCTGTCTCAAAAAAAATGAATGAAATGGCTGTGTGAGGTGGCTCATGCCTATGATCCCAGCACTTTGGGAGGCCGAGGTAGGAAGATTGCTTGAATGTAGAAGTTCAAGACCAGACTGGGCAACAAAGTGAGACCCCCATCTCTACAAAAAACTTAAAAAGTATCCAGGTGAGGTGGCACGTGCTTGTCGTCCCAGCTACTGGGGAGACTGAGATGGGAGGATTGCTTGCACCTGGGTGTTGAGACTGCAGTGAACTGTGATCTTGCCACTGCACTCCAGAGCCTGGGTGACAGAGCAAAATTCCTGGGGAGAGTGAAGTTATGATATGCTGTAAATATATGGATGAGCCTTGAAGACAATATGCTAAGCAAAATAAGCCAGAGATGAAGGGCCAAATACTGTATAATTACACTTTATGAGGTACCTAAAGTAGTCAAATTCAGAGACAGGAAGTGGAATAGTGGTTGCCAGGGGCTGGTGGCAGTGGGGAATAAGGAGTTATTGTTTAATGTTGTGGGAAGTCAAGGACCCCGAATGGAGGGACCGGCTGGAGCCGCGGCAGAGGAACATAAATTGTGAAGATTTCATCTTAATATGGACATTTATCAGTTCCCAAATAATACTTTTATAATTTCTTATGCCTGTCTTTAATATCTTAATCCTGTTATGTTCGTAAGCTGAGGATGTACATAACCTCAGGACCACTGTGATAATTGTGTTAACTGTACAAATTGATTGTAAAACATGTGTTTGAACAATACGAAATCAGTGCACCTTGAAAAAGAACAGAATAACAGCGATTTTTATGGAACAAGGGAAGACAACCATAAGGTCTGACAGCCTGCGGAGTCGGGCCAAAAGAGCCATATTTTTCTTCTTGCAGAGAGCCTACAAACGGACGTGCAAGTAGGAGAGATATCACTAAATTATTTTCCTAGTAAGGAATATTAATATTAATACCCTGGGAAAGGAATGCATTCCTGGCGGGAGGTCTATAAACGGCCGCTCTGGGAATGTCTGTCTTGTGCCGTTGAGATAAGGACTGAGATACGCCCTGGTCTCCTGCAGAACCCTCAGGCTTACTAGGGTTGGGAAAACTCCACCCTGGTAAATTTGTGGTCAGACTGGTTCTCTGCTCTCCAACCCCGTTTTCTGTTGTTTAAGATGTTTATCAAGAAAATACATGCACCGCTGAACACAACCCTTATCAGTGGTTCTGCTTTTGCCCTTTGCCTTGTGATCTTTGTTGGACCTTTGTCAGTGGTTCTGCTTTTGCCCTTTGTCCTATTCCCTCAGAAGCATGTGATCTTTGTTAGAACCTTATTAGTGGTTCTGCTTTTGCCTTTTGAAGCATACGATCTTTGTACCCACTCCCTGTTCTTACCCCCGCTCCCCTTTTGAAACCCTTAATAAAAACTTGCTGGTCTGAGACTCAGGTGGGCATCACGGTCCTACCAATATGTGATGTCACCCCCAGCGGCCCAGGTGTAAAATTCCTCTCTTTGTACTGTCTCTATTTGTCAGCCGGCCGACTCTTATAGAAAATAGAAGGAACCTACGTTGAAATATTGGGGGCGAGTTCCCCCAATAGTTTAATGGGTAAAGACTTTCATTGTACAATGATGTAAAAATTCTGGGCCAGACGCAGTGGCTCACGCCTATAATCCCAGCACTTTGGGAGGCTGAGGCAGGCCGATCACTTGGGGTCAGGAGTTTGAGACCAGCTTGGCCAACACAGTGAAATCCCATCTCTACTAAAAATAGAAAAATTAGCTGGGTGTGGTGGTGCGTGCCTGTAGTCCCAGCTACTCGGGAGGCTGAGGTAGGAGACTCACTTGAACCCGGGAGGTGGAGGTTGCAGTGAGCTGAGATCGCGCCACTGCACTCCAGCCTGGGGGATAGAGCGAGACTCCAAAAGTTCTGGAAATGGATAATGGTGATAGTTGTACAACAATGTAATGTACTTAATATCATTGATTTGTACACTTAAAAATGGTTAAAATGGGCTTGTTCCAGCAGCTCATGCCTGTAATTCTAGCGCTTTGGGAGGCCAAGGCAGGAGGGTCACTTGAGACCAGAGTTCGAGACCAGTCTGGGCAACATAGCAAGACCCTGTCTCTAAAAATAAAAAAATAAATAAATAAATGGTTAAAATGAGGCCATGCATGCCTGTAATCTCACCGCTTTGGGAAGATGAGGCGGTAGGGTCACTTGTTTGGGAAGAGGAGGTGGGAGGATCCTTTGAACCCAGGAGTTCAAGGCTGCAATGAACTATCATGGTGCCATTGCACTCCAACCTGGGTGACAGAGTAAGACCTAGTCTCTAAAAAAATAAGAGTTAAGGCCAGACACGGTGACTCACGACTGTAGTCTCAGCACTTTGGGAGGCTGAGGCGGGCAGATTACAAGGTCAGGAGTTTGAGACCAGCCTGGCCAACATGGTGAAACCCCGTCGTACTAAATATACAAAAATCAGCTGGCCGTGGTGGCATGTGACTGTAATCCCAGCTACTCAAGAGGCTGAGGCAGGTGAATCGCTGGAACCCGGGAGCCAGAGGTTGCAGTGAGCCGAGATCAGACCACTGCACTCCAGCCTGGGTGACAGAGCAAGACTCTGTCTTGAAAAAAAAAAAAATTAAAAAAAGAAACATGGCCCAGTGTGGTGGCTCTTGCCTATAATCCCAACACTCAGGGAGGCCAAGGTGGGAGGATTGCTTAAGCCCAGGAGTTCGAGACCAGGCAACATAGGGAGACCCCGTCTGTACAAATAATTTTAAAAATTAGCCAGGTGTGGTGGTGCATGCCTGTGGTCCCAGGTGCTCAGGAGGCTGAGGTGGGAGGACTGGCTAAGCCTGGGAGGTTGAGGCTGCAGTGAGCTATGATCACACCACTGCACTCCAGCCTGGGTAACACAGTGAGACACCCCGTCTTAAAAAACAAACAAACAAATAAACAAATACTATGCATAAAACCTCAAGGCTCAAGAAACAACAGTTTGAAATAGTTAGATGTGTGTTTTTTAATTTTCATGTCTTATCTTTTCTGTTTTTTGTTTTTTTTTTTTTTTTTTTAGAGATGAGATCTTGCTCTGTTGCCCAAGCTGGTATCGAACTCCTCCTGGGCTCAAGCAATCTCCTGCCTAGGACTCCCTCCTAACAGCTGGAACTACAAGCATGAACCACTGCACCCAGCTACTGGTGTATTGTTTCAGTAGTCTTTTTAAAAAATGTTAATATCTTGGTAAAAAATATATTTATACTGTTCTCTAACCTGCTTTTTTCATCAGTGTGATGGAAAAATGCTCATCATATATTCTTCTGCTATATAACTTTAGATGTCTACACTGATTTCATTTATGACATCACAATTAAACTGGTTAAACCAAATTCATATTGCTCACTTGTTTCTAATTTTTTCTCTATTAAAATGATATGATAAGCATCCTTGTAGCCAAATATTTACACACATTCATTAAGGTTTACTTAAAAGAAATTCCTAGACGTGGAGCTGAGTCAAAGAGAAGGGATCTTTTAAGTATTTTTGCACTGATTGCCATGAAAAGGTCATACCAGTTTATACATTCATCAATATATGAGTTTCTTTTCTAAATCTTCTTCAACATCATGTGAGAGACAGTTAAAGCATAGTTGTTCAGAGCCCAGGCTTGAGAATCAGATTTCAAAGGTATGAACCCTCTCCCTTTTTCTTTTCCTTTTTTTTTTTTTTTTCTGAGGAGTCTTGCTCAGTCGCCCAGGCTGGAGTGCAGTGGCCCAATCTCGGCTCACTGCAAGTGTGTCCAGAATTGGTGGATTCTTGGTCTCACTGACTTCAAGAATGAAGCCGTGGACCCTCACGGGAGCATTACAGCTCTTAAAGGTGGCATGTCCAGAGTTCGTTCCTTCTGATGTTCGGATGTGTTCGGAGTTTCTTCCTTCTGGTGGGTTCATGGTCTCGCTGGCTTAGGACTGAAGCTGCGGACCTTCGTGGTGAGTGTTACAGCTCTTAAGGCGGCGTGTCTGGAGTTGTTCGTTTTTCCCGGTGAGTTCATGGTCTCGCTGGCTTCAGGAGTGAAGCTACAGACCTTGGTGGTGAGTGTTAGAGCTCATAAAGGCAGTGTGGACGCAAAGAGTGAGCAGCAGTAAGATTTATTGCAAAGAACGAAAGAACAAAGTTTCCACAGTGTGGAAGGGGGACCCCAGCGGGTTGCCACTGCTGGCTAGGGCAGCCTGCTTTTATTCTCTTATCTGGCCCCACTCACATCCTGCTGATTGGTAGAGCCCAGGGGTCTGTTTTGACAGGGCACTGATTGGTGCGTTTACAATTCCTCAGCTAGACACAAAAGTTCTCCACGTCCCCACCAGAATAGTTAGATACAGAGTGTTGACACAAAGGTTCTCCAAGTCCCCACCAGAGTAGCTAGATACAGAGTGTTGATTGGTGCATTCACAAACCCTGAGCTAGACACAGGGTGCTGATTGGTGTGTTTACAAACCTTGAGCTAGATACAGAGTGCCGATTGGTGTATTTACAATCCCCTAGCTAGACATAAAGGTTCTCCAAGTTCCCACTAGACTCAGGAGCCCAGCTGGCTTCACCCAGTGGATCGTGCACTGGGGCTGCAGGTGGAGCTGCCTGCCAGTCCCGCACCGTGAGCCCACACTCCTCAGCCCTTGGGTGGTCAATGGGACTGGGCTCCGTGGAGCAGGGGGCGGCGCTCGTCAGGGAAGCTCAGGCTGCACAGGAGCCCACGGAGGCGGGGGGAGGCTCAGGCATGGAGGGCTGCAGGTCCTAAGCCCTTTCCCGTGGGAAGGCAGCTAAGGCCCAGCGAGAAATTGAGCACAGCGCCAGTGGGCCGGCACTGCTGGGGGACCCAGCACACCCTCCGCAGCCGCTGGCCCAGGTGCTAAGCCCCTCATTGCCCGGGGCTGGCAGGGCCAGCTGGCGGCTCCGAGTGTGGGGCCCACCAAGCCCATGCCCACCTGGAACTCCAGCTGGCCCGCAAGTGCGGAACGCAGCCTCAGTTCCCACTTGCGCCTCTCCCTCCACACCTCCCTGCAAGCTGAGGGAGACGGCTCCGGCCTTGGCCAGCCCAGAAAGGGGCTCCCACAGTGCAGCGGTGGGCTGAAGGGCTTCTCAAGTGCCGCCAAAGTGGGAGCCCAGGCAGAGGAAGTGCTGTGAGGGCTGCCAGCACGCTGTCACCTCTCACAAGCTCCACCTCTGGGGTTCACGCCATTCTCCTGCCTCAGCCTCTGGAGCAGCTGGGACTACAGGTGCCTGCCACCATGCCCAGTTAATTTCTTGTATTTTTTTTTAGTAGAGATGGGGTTTCACTGTGTTAGCCAGGATGGTGTCGATCTCCTGACCTCATGATCCACCCGCCTCAGCCTCCCAAAGTTCTGGGATTACAGGTGTGAGCCACCGCGCCCATCCCCTTTTTCTTTTTAGAGACAGGGTCTTGCTATGTTGTCCAGGTTGGTGCGAAACTCCTGGCCTTAAGCAACCCTGCCACCTCAGCCTCCAAGTAAACTGGGATTACAGGCGTGAGCCATCTTGCCCAACTTCCACTTTCTAGCTGTGTGATCTTCAGAAAATCAGTTAAATTCTCTGGGCCTTAATTTACTGATAGGGTTCTTGTAAGTATTAACCATTAGCTACTATTGAGAGGTGAAGACCGCTGGGCTTCTGGGTTGGGTGGGGACTTGGAGAACTTTTTTGTCTAGCTAAAGGATTGTAAATGCACCAATCAGCACTCTGTGTCTAGCTAAAGGTTTGTAAACGCACCAATCAGCACTGGGTAAAAACGAACCAATCAGCACTTTGTAAAACGAACCAATCAGCACTCTGTAAAATGGAAAATCAGCGCTCTGTAAAATGGACCAATCAGCAGGACATGAGCAGGGCCAAATAAGGGAATAAAAGCTGGTCACCCCAGCTAGTAGTGGTAACCTGCGTGAGTTCCGCTCCAGGCTGATGGAAGCTTTGTTCTTTTGTACTTCACAATAAACCTTGCTACTGCTCCTTCTTTGGGTCCATACTGCATTTCAGAGCTGTAACACCGTGAAGGTATACAGCTTCACTCCTGAAGCCAAGACCATGAACCCACTGAGAGGAACAAGAAAAACAACTCTGGACCTGCTGCCTTTATGAGCTGTAACACTCACCTTGAAGGTCTGTGGCTTTACTCTTGAAGTCGGTGAGAAGCGAGACCATGAACCCACCAGAAGGAACACATTCCGGACGCATCTGAACATCAGAGGAAACAAACTCCAGACACACTACTTTTCAGAACTGTATTAAGAACTGTAACAGTCACTGCGAGGGTCTGCGGCTTCATTCTTGATGTCAGCGAGACCAAGAATCCACCAGAAGGAACCAATTCCAGACACAGAATTATTTGCCTTCTTACTTCCTGAGAGTTCTAGGCACAGAACATACTTGAGGTGTTATACAAAGGTAATTAGAACTGACAGGGAATTGTATGATTAATGACGTGGGACATGAGAGATTTGGAACGAGATAAAAAGGCTTACCTTGAGGACAGCCTTATTAGGAGCAGAGGCAAACACAGGTTTTGTGGGTTTGAAGCCTACACATTTATAGCTTTCTCTAATTACACAGGTAGGAAATTATAAAATCAGGTACAAGGGCTTGGCAGGGGCCTAAAGCTTAAGTGATGAAAAAAAAAAACACCACACCTCTGGTGAAACCAATAGCTTACGAAAAAGTAGAAAAAAGCGCGATGCATGGGGAGCTCCGGTAGTCCTTTGAGGTATTTGAGAGGCTGAGTCAGGAAGATGGCTTGAGCACCAGGAGTTGGAGGTTTGTAAGTGCAGTGATGGTAAACTGCCGCTGTACTCCAGTCTGGCAATGTAGTGAGACCCTGTCTCTCAAAAAAAAAAAGTAACCCTTGCCTGACTGGGACAATAATTGAGAAACCAGTAAAACAAAATAATAACTATTAGCCGGGCGCGGTGGCTCATGCCTGTAAATCCTAGCATTTTGGGAGGCTGAGGCGGGCGGATTACAAAGTCAGGAGTTTGAGAAATTACTACCTATTACCCCATTTGGCTATTTTTACACTTGTAAGGAATGAAGCTCAGAGGTCACACAGCTAGTAAGAAGCCAGCACCCTTCGATGTGGGATTGATGTGGAGGATAGGCATATACAGAGAACACAAAAGCAAAACACCATGGTGCAGATTTTGAAAGAAAAGCCCTAAGATTAGTAATGAGTGTGAATTATTCAACAAAGTGATCAAAACTAACTCCAGCTCTGCATTCCTCTTCGCCATCAGGAGTTTGGAGCCTGGAGACTGCTAGCTGCCTGGTTCTTTAAGAACCAGCCCTGGTCCAGCCCATTCCGCAGGCCAGCAAGCTTCTGAAAAGCAAACCTAGGAAGTAGCTTTCCAACATAAAGTGGAGGTTTCAACACAGGAGACTTTAAGCAAGTTCCAGTGTGTCTATATTTGGTCTGGCTGATCGGCTGGACTCTGGCCTTCCCCGCTCACGTTAGCAGACAGCTCTGCCCTAGTGGGCGCTTAGCCTGCGACGGCAGCCCGAGAGGATGTCTAACAAGCTTCTTTCTCCCCACCCCCATTCAGTTGTTCTCAGGTCTGAATTCAAAATGGCCTCATCTCCTGCTGTCCTTCGAGCGTCCCGGCTGTACCAATGGAGCCTGAAGAGTTCGGCGCAGTTCCTGGGGTCTCCACAGCTGAGGCAGGTTGGTCAGATCATTAGGGTTCCTGCTCGGATGGCGGCGACGCTGATCCTGGAGCCTGCGGGCCGCTGCTGCTGGGACGAACCGGTGCGAATCGCCGTGCGCGGCCTAGCCCCGGAGCAGCCGGTCACGCTGCGCGCGTCCCTGCGCGACGAGAAGGGCGCGCTTTTCCAGGCCCACGCGCGCTACCGCGCCGACACTCTTGGCGAGCTGGACCTGGAGCGCGCGCCCGCGCTGGGCGGCAGCTTCGCGGGGCTTGAGCCCATGGGGCTGCTCTGGGCCTTGGAGCCCGAGAAACCTTTGGTGCGGCTGGTGAAGCGCGACGTGCGAACGCCCTTGGCCGTGGAGCTGGAGGTGCTGGATGGCCACGACCCCGACCCCGGGCGGCTGCTGTGCCAGACGCGGCACGAGCGCTACTTCCTCCCGCCCGGGGTGCGGCGCGAGCCGGTGCGCGTGGGCCGGGTGCGAGGCACGCTCTTCCTGCCGCCAGGTGACTCACCTCCGCTAATTGTTCCGTGTTCGTTCGCCTTTCACTTTGTGTGTCTCCCCCGCCCCACGCTTTTCGCTTATGTGTATGCCCCCCCGCCGCGCCCCCGGGCTATATTGCCCAGGCAGGTTTCGAATTCCTGGTCTCCAGCTATCTTCCCGCCTCTGCCTCCCTAAGAGCTGGGATTACAGGGTGAGCCACCGCGCCCGGCACTTTGAGGGGAGTTACACTTTTTTTTTTTTTCCGTCCCTGCCCTTTTCACACGAAGAAGGGATGTAGCTTCCAACCTTCCGGAGGTTAGTGTAAAGAAACAGGAATGGAATGGAAAGCTGATTGGGGAAGTGTCCCTGCCGCTCCAAAACTGAGAGGTCCCTCAAACCTAGTGCTCAGTTAAAAGACATTGTAAGGGCCAGGCGCAGTGGCTCACGCTTGTAATCCCAGCACTTTGGGAAGTCTCGGCGGGCAGATCACGAGATCAAAAGATTGAGGCCATCCTGACTAACACGGTGAAACCCCGTCTCTACTAAAAATACAAAACAGTAGCTGGGCGTAGTAGCGGGCGCCTGTAGTCCCAGCTACTCGGGAGGCTGAGGCAGGAGAATGGTGTGAACCCGGGAGGCAGAGTTTGTAGTGAGCTGAGATCGCGCCACTGCACTCCAGCCTGGGCGACAGAGCGAGACTCCGTCTCAAAAAAAAGACATTGTAAGGAAAGGAAAAAGACACTTATATTAAAAACAAAACAGGCCGGGCGCGGTGGCTAACGCCTGTAATCCTAGCGCTTTGGGAGGCCGAGGCCGGCGGATCACCTGAGGTCAGGAGTTCGAGACCAGCCTGGCCAACATGGTGAAACCCCATCTCTACTAAAAATAGAAAAATTAGCCAGGCGTGGTGGTGCATGCCTGTAGTCCCAACTACTTAGGAGGTTGAGGCAGGAGAATCGCTGGAACCCGGGAGGCAGAGGTTGCAGTGAGCTGAGATCATGCCATTGCACTCCAGCCTGGGGGACAAGAGTGACTCTATCTTAAAAAAAAAAAAAAAAAATTCAGGTAGTTTCAATTTTTTAATGTTCTTATTTATGTATTGACTAGGAAGCCACTTTTTTTTTTTTTTAAATAAGAATTCCGACTGGTTTTCTCACTGTATTTCCATGGCAGCTAGGAGGTGCCAGGTGGCTGGGCCTGTGACAGTGCAGAGGTTTTGGTGCCTGCCCGCCCACCATTGCTCCAGCTGCAGCTGCTGCCCCCTGCAGGGCCTGTTCGTTCCTGCTGCCTAGCTCCCCGCTGGCTGGCTATGATCTCCCTGTTACCATTCCAGGAGAGCAGCCGCGTCCCTATGCATGGCAGGACCAGGTACTATTGTGGCCTCTCCTCTTGGCCTCGAATGGTATCTTTGTCATCAGTGAGCAAGTCCCCAAAGACCACGGTCTTGTCCATTGTCAGGATAATTCACTCCACAAGCTGGGGCTCCAGGTGCTGCCCTACCCAGCGGTGCTTCTCACCCACACAGTGGTCATACTTTGGCAGGGGCTGGTGCAGTGTGAAGACCTCGGTGTTTTGCATGTGCTTCATCTCTTGCAAGGTCCTCCGGGGTTGGGCTTCAAGACTAGGGAAAAGCCTGGGCTTCACACCCGTGGGCCACTTTATCCACCAGGTCCGGCAGCAGGGTGAGGTACTGCTTCCAGACCAGGAAGCTGCGGTGCTGCTGCAGTGTCACATGCAGCTCCCTGAGAAGGGGCGGCTGAAGCCCCGCAGGAGGCCGTCTGGAAGCTGCCAGCACGCGGTCCCTGTCCATCAGCACACGCGTGGGCTGTGCTCATCGCTGCCGGGGCACTGGGGTTTCTCGGGATCCTAGGGGTATGGGGCCCAGAAATGTTCTTTAAAAGTTTCTCATTTTTGCAACTTTTCTTTGAATTCGCACAGTATGTTAAGATTTATGTAAATTAGCATTTACAATAGGAAAACCTCTTCCTGTCAAATGGAAATTTGAGGTTACTGGATACTTTTATATTACATAAAGAGCAATCAGCCAGTGTAAAAATGAAATGATGCTTATCCTTATTAATAATCAAAGAAATGCAAAATAAAACAACAGAGTACATTTCACACCCTCAGAAGTGGCCCACTTTTAGAAGCTAGCATTATCAATTGCTGACCAGTATGTGGAGGAAATGAAACTCACTGCTAGAAGGAGCAACATATTCATCTGCTCTGGGCAACAATTTGTCTTAACTTACAAAGTTAAATATGTTATTCTACTTGTACATGTGCACCAGGAGGCATATTCCTTATAAGAGGCCAGATGAGCAGTCTGGATTAATTTAAAAAAAGAGCAAAGTCAACTGGAAACAGTCCAAATGTCCATCAACAATAGAACAGATTAATAAATTGAGGTATATTTCCAGCAGTCAAAGTGATTGAACTACAGCTACAAGAATCAACATCTATCAAGATATACAAAAGAAAAGAAAAAAAAAGAATCAACATGGATGAATCTCCAAACCACTGTTGAGTGAAACAGTCAAACCCTAGGAGAACACATTCAGTATCATTCCATTTAGATACAATTCAAAAACTAGGCAAAATAAAATATTAAGGTACATAATCTAAGTGGTAATACTATGAAGAAAACCAAGAGTGATACACAGAAAGTCCAGGATACTGGAAAGAGAGGAAAGGGCACAGGGGTCTGTGGGACGTTGATGGTTTGCGGGTATCAGCACTGAACTATGTCTTAAAAGTGTTGCCTGTAAGGTGTTTGCATTTTTTTTTTTTTTTTTTTTTTTTTTGAGACAGTGTCTCGCTCTTTCGCCCAGGCTGGAGTAGTGGCACAATCTTGGCTCACTGCAACCTCCACCTCCCGGGTTCAAGCGATTCTCCTCCCTCAGCCTCCCGAGTAGCTGGGATTACAGGTGGCCGCCACCACACCCAGCTAATTTTTGTATTTTTAGTACAGATGGGGTTTCACCATGTTGGCCAGGCTGGTCTCGAACTCCTGACCTCAGGTGATCCACCCGTCTCAGCCTCCCAAAGTGCTGGGGTTACAGGCGTGAGCCACCGGACCCAGCCTGCATTATTACTATTTAATTTTGTGTGAAACACAAAACCTTTAATGTAAATGATAAAAATATCAGTAAGTGGAGTCATTCAGAATGAGTAGCCTTTTGAGTCTGTCTCCGTTGAGTAAGTGCATTCTGTTGAGTGCACTGGAGAGGAATTTGTGCTCTTCTATGTAGCAGTCTTTCTTTTTGTTTCTTGGTGGTGCACCATTAAATGGATTCATTCACCAGTTAAAGGACATTTGGGTTGTTTCCAGTCTTTGGCTACAACGAGTAAAGTCACTATAAACACTTGCCAGAGGTTTCTGGACGAACAGGTTTTCATTTCTCGTGGGTAGATACCTAGGAGTGGGATTGCTGGGTCACATGTGTGGTAAGTATATGTTTAACTTAAACCATCCAACTGTTTCAGGAATAGCTTAGTTTTGCATTTTGTTTTGTTTCTTCCCAAGAACCTGGGCCCTTTCCTGGGATTGTGGACATGTTCGGAACTGGAGGTGGCCTGCTGGAGTATCGGGCTAGTCTGCTGGCTGGGAAGGGTTTTGCTGTGATGGCTCTGGCTTATTATAACTATGAAGACCTCCCCAAGACCATGGAGACGCTCCATCTGGAGTACTTTGAAGAAGCCATGAACTACTTGCTCAGTCATCCCGAGGTTAGTTCTTCTTTCAGATTTATGGGCTATGATGTATCAGGTCTCTTCTTAAATGGTCTGGGTTTTCACAGAAGTTAGCTCATTCATGACAGCCATTCCCTACCCCAACACACACTACCTTTTTTAGTCACTTCTTATAGACAGTTTCTTTTTTTGAGATGGAGTCTCACTCTGTTGCCAGGCTGGAGTCCAGTGGTGCGATCTTGGCTCACTGCAACCTCCACCTCCCAAGTTCAAGTGATTCTTGTGCCCCACCCTCCCGAGTAGTTGGGATTACAGGCACCTGCCACCATGCTTGGCTAATTTTTGTATTTTTAGTGGAGGCGGGGTTTCACAATATTGGTCAGGCTGGTCTTGAACTCCTGACCTCAAATGATCCACCTGCTTTGACCTACCCAAGTGCTGGATTACAGGCATGAGCCACTATGCCCAGCCTAATATTTGTATTTTTTTTTTTTTAAGTAGAGATGGGGTTTCGCCATGTTGGCCAGGCTGGTCTCAAACTCCTGACCTCAAGTGATCTGCCCACCTTGGCCTCCCAGAGTGCTGGAATTACAGGCATGAGCCACCACACCTGGCCTCTTATAGACAGTTTCTATTCAATTCTATATTACTATATTTCCTGCTAGTAAAGAGATTCGTAGTTGTTATTATGCAATTTTAAATTCCAGTATTTTTTTTTTTTTTTTTTTGAGATGGAGTCTTGCTGTGTCACCCAGGCTGGAGTGCAATGGCATGATCTCGGCTCACTGCAAACTCCACCTCCCAGGTTCAATTGATTCTTCTGCCTCAGCCTCCCACGTAGCTGTGACTACAGGCACGTGCCACTACTGCCCGGCTAATTCTTGTATTTTTAGTAGAGATGTTTCACCATGTTGGCCAGACTGATCTCAAACTCCTGACCTCAAATGATCCACCCGCCTCAGCCTCCCAAACTGTTGGGATTACAGGCGTCAGCCACCACTCCCGGCCATGAGATGATGTACTTGTTGATGATGACTCAGTTTAGTTATGACAGTGGGAATGGGTGGCTCAGGTGGGAGACAGAAAAAGATCATGGGAGATACGAGATTAAGGAACTGAGAAACCAGAGAATAATTGATAGATCTTCCACATGGTTATCACCAAGAGTGGTGATGGACAAATTGTGGAAAGGAAGAGATAGAGGGGAGGTAAATTCTCAAAGTTGCAAATCTGGGTAAATGGTAGAACCTAGATTCAGACTCAGGTTCAACTAACTTCCAGGGTGGACACAACTCACCATATTCCACTGTTTGTGGAATCATTCTTCTTCTTTTTCCTTTGTCCCTTTCTCAGGTAAAAGGTCCAGGAGTTGGGCTGCTTGGAATTTCCAAAGGGGGTGAGCTCTGCCTTTCCATGGCCTCTTTCCTGAAGGGCATCACGGCTGCTGTCGTCATCAACGGCTCTGTGGCCAATGTTGGGGGAACCTTACACTACAAGGGCGAGACCCTGCCCCCTGTGGGCGTCAACAGAAATCGCATCAAGGTGACCAAAGATGGCTATGCAGACATTGTGGATGTCCTGAACAGCCCTTTGGAAGGACCTGACCAGAAGAGCTTCATTCCTGTGGAAAGGGCAGAGAGCACCTTCCTGTTCCTGGTAGGTCAGGATGACCACAACTGGAAGAGTGAGTTCTATGCTAATGAGGCCTGTAAACGCTTGCAGGCCCATGGGAGGAGAAAGCCCCAGATCATCTGTTACCCAGAGACAGGGCACTATATTGAGCCTCCTTACTTCCCCCTGTGTCGGGCTTCCCTGCATGCCTTGGTGGGCAGTCCTATTATCTGGGGAGGGGAGCCCAGGGCTCATGCCATGGCTCAGGTGGATGCTTGGAAACAACTCCAGACTTTCTTCCACAAACACTTGGGTGGCCACGAGGGGACAATCCCATCAAAAGTGTAAATTTTATTTGATCATGTGGCCTCTCTGTTGCTAATCTCTCCTGGAAACATCTGCCACATTTAGTGTGTGTATGTGTATTCATTCTTTTGTTTTTAATAACTAAAGTTTTTTCCCCTCATTATTAAAATGAATTTACCAGTAAGAATGAGTTTTTAAGATTTTTATAAACTGTATACTTTATCAGTTTGGGAAGGGAGTAACTGTAGGAAACACAAGAAGTGGAAAAAGTCTCCTCTTCCTATCTCAACACACAACTGATAAGGCTTTAGTTCTGAAAGGAAAAGTGAGTAACATCAATTAACAGTGTCTGGTACGTAAATGGAGTTCAATAATTATTTGCTGAATGAGTATAAGTGAGCCAGGCGTGGTGGCTCACACCTGTAATGCCAGCACTTTGGGAGGCTGAGGTGGGCGGATCACTTGAGGTCAGGAGTTTGAGACCAGTCTGGCCAACGTGATGAAACCCCATCTCTCCTAAAAATACAAAAAATTAGCCAGGCGTGGTGGCAGGCACCTGTAGTCACAGCTACTTGGGAGGCTGAGGCAGGAGAATTGCTTGAACCTGGGAGGCGGAGGTTGCAGTGAGAAGAGGTTGCAGTGAGAAAAGATTGTGCTACTACCCTCCAGCCTGGGCAACAGCAAGACTCTGCCTCAAAAATTAATTAATTAATTAATTAAATGATTACCTACTGTGGAAGAAAAGCACATAATATAAAAAGTGTATCAGATTTGAGTTCCTCCTTTAAGAATGGAAGTTAACATCTTGCCTATAAACTGATTACTAGTTAGATATAAAACTACTAAAAATTTTCAAAACCAATACATATTTAGTTCTTTGATATCTTCTCCTTGGATTAATAAGGATTCTCCTAGTGCAAATAAATTTTACATTCCTGTTTATACATATGGACTTTTAGGATTTGTTTCAAAAGCTGATAAAACATTATTGAGATGAATTACATAAGTGATTTTAACAATGACAAATGTGAAGTTAAATAACAATTTAGGCTTGGCGTTGGTGACTCACACTTGTAATGCCAGCACTTTGGGAGACCAAGGCCAGTGGATTGCTTGAGCTCAGGAGTTCAAGACAAGCCTGGGCAACATGGGAAAACCCCGTCTCTACAAAAAAATAGCCAGACATTGGTGGTGCATGCCTGTAGTCCCAGCTACTGGGGAGGCTGAGGTGGGAGAACCACTTGAGCCCTGGAGGCAGAGGTTGCAGTGAGCTGAGATCGTGCTACTGTGCTCCAGCCTGGGCAACAGCAAGACACAGTCTCAAAAAAAAAAAAAAAAAAAAAAAAAAAGACAATATTTATATCACTTGATATAAATAGTTCCACAATAAACTTGTTTTTTTTTTAAACCTTAGTTGTATTTAAAGGAAAAAAAACCTTAATTTATTATTCTTTTCTTTTCTTTTTTTTTTTTTTTTGAGAGAGGGTCTCACTCTGTTGCCCAGGCTGGAGTGCAGTGGCACAGTCACGGCTCACTGCAGCCTCAACCTCGTAGGTTTAAGCTATTCTCCCACCTCGGCCTCCCTAGCAGCTGAGACCACACAGGCACACACCACCATGCCTGGCTAATTTTTAATTTTTTGTACAGATGGGGTCTCCCAGTGTTGCCCAGACTAGCCTTGAATTACCGAGCTCAAACAATCCTCCTGCCTCAGCCTCCCAAAGTGCTGAAATTACAGGTGTGAGCCACCGCTGCCAGCTTCCGGCACCTTTTTTCTAAAGGAATTCATGGTTTTGTAGCAGTAGAATATAACCAGATCTACAGTAGAGAGATGATACCCTGAGATGAAGCTACCTCCTGTGTTACTCTGCAACCCAGGAATGCAGCTGGTGCCATGTCTCCAAACTTCCACAAGAATGCCAGTGCTGGGCATGGAGCCCCATTTAGAGTACACATGACCTGAGGCTCTGAAAACTCTTAGAGATGATGCAATCTGGGACAGTTGCTCATAGCTGGCCTGGCCAAGTCCCACCCCAAGATGCCAGGCCACAACACAAAATTTCAAGTCATATTGTTTTATCTTTTCCCTTGCAATTATATAGTATATGACTCTCTTAGAAAAGTGCAATAGTTAAAACTTGTTTTAGTAGATGCTAGATCCCAAACTTGAGTCTGCTGAAGCCCTTTTGAGACCTTAGGGACCCTATTCCCCATTCTTAGAAATTCGGGCTGGTGAATATTAAAAGCACTACAGATGAGCTGGTGGGTGTAGAAGCACATGCCTGTAATCCCAGCTACTTGGGAGGCTGAGGCAGTAGGATTGCTTGAGCCCAGGAGTTCAAGTCAGCCTGGGTAACATAGTGGGACATGATCTTATAAAAACAATTTTTTTTTTTTGAGACAGAGTCTCACTCTGTTGCCCAGGCTGGAGTACAATGGCTTGATCTTGGCTCACTGCAACCTCCGCCTCCTGGGTTCACGTGATTCTCCTGCCTCAGCCTCCCAAGTAGCTGGGAATACAGGCACCCGCCACCATGCCCAGCTAAATTTTGTATTTTTAGTAGAGATGGAGTTTTGCCATGTTGGTCAGACTGGTCTCGAACTCCTGACCTCAGGTGATCCACCCAGCTTGGCCTCCCAAAGTGCCAGGATTATAGGCGTGAGCCACCGCCCCTGGCAAAAAAATGTTTTAATAACATGAAAAATTTTAAAAAGCATCACAGGGGTTCAGATCACCTATCAGCCTCTTGACATTTCATCTTTTTTTTTTTTTTTTGAGACAGGATCTCTCACCCAGGCTAGAGTGCAGTGGCAGTAACATGATCTCGGCTCACTACAGTCTTGATCTCCAAGACTCAAGTGATCCTCCCACCTCAGCCCCCTGGGTAGCTGGGACTGCAGACACATGCCACCATGCCCAGCTAATTTTTGTATTTTTGCAGAGACAAGGTTTCACCATGTTGCCCAGGCTGGTCTCAAACTCCTGGGCTCAAGCAGTCTGTCCATCTTGGCGTACCACACTGATTGGATTATAGGCATGAGCAACCGGGCCCAGCCTAGTTAGTCTTTATTAGTTATTTGACAGGCATTTTTCTTTTTATTTTCAACCCATGCAAGCTGTGAACGTGGTGAAACAGACCGAAAAGTTCATTAAACTAACATGCTCCATAATGATTGATTGATTGATTTTAAAATAGAGGCCGGGTGCGGTGGCTTATGCCTCTGTAATCCCAGCACTTTGGGAGGCCAAGGTGGGCAGATCACCTGAGGTCAGGAGTTCGAGACCAGCCTGACCAATGTGATGAAACCCTGTCTCTACTAAATACAAAAATTGGCCAGGCGCGGTGGCTCATGCCTGTAATCCCAGCACTTTGGGAGGTTATGGTGGGCAGTCACGAGGTCGGGAGATCAAGACCATCCTGGCTAACACAGTGAAACCCCATCTCTACTAAAAATACAAAAAATTAGCAGGGCGTGATGGCGGGTGCCTGTAGTCCCAGCTACTCGGGAGGCTGAGGCAGGAGAATGGCGTGAACCCGGGATGTGGAGCTTGCAGTGAGCTGAAATCACATCACTGCACTCTAGCCTAGGCGACAGCCAGCCTCCATCTCAAAAAAAAGAAAAAAAAAAAAAAAACAGCCAGGTATGGTGGCATGCGCCTGTAATCCCAGCTACTTGGGAGGCTGAGGCAGGACAATTGCTTTAACCCAGGAGGCAGAGGTTGCAGTGAGCCGAGATCACGCCATTGTACTCCAGCCTAGGCAACAAGAACGAAATTCCGTCTCAAAAAAATTAAAAAAAAAAAAAAAAAAAAAAAAAAAAACGCTGGGTGTGGTGGCTCATGCCTGTAATCCCAGCTCTTTGAGAGGCCAAGGCGAGGGGATCATGAGGTCGGGAGTCTGAGACCAGCCAGGTCAACATGGTGAAACCCCATCTCTACTGAAAATACAAACATTAGCCGAGCGTGGTGCTGGGCGCCTGTAATCCCAGCTACTCGGGAGGCTGTGGCAGGAGAATCACTTGAAACCGGAAGGTGGAGGTTGTGGTGAGCCGAGATCGTGCCACTGCACTCCAGCCTGGGCAAAAGGGCAAAAGCCGTCTCAAAAAAAAAAAAAAAAAAAAAAAAGTAGAGATGGGGTCTCCCTATGTTGCCCATGCTGGTCTTAAACACCTGGGCTCAGGCAATCTTCCCACCTTGGCCTCTCCCAAAGTGCTGGGATTACAGGCATACACCACTGCACCTGGCCATCATGAATAATTTTAAAGGGAACCACTACGTAAACAATACCCACGTCCAATGGGCATGGTTTTTAAAAGCATATTTAAAGTGTATAACATGGACCAGGCACGGTAGCTCATGCCTGTAATTCCGTCACTTCGGGAGGCCAAGGTGGGTGGATCATTTGAAGTCAGAAGTTCGAGAGCAGCCTGGCCAACATGGTAAAACTCCATCTCTACCAAAAAATAAAATAATTTGCCAGGCCCACATGGTGGTGTGCACCTGTAGTCCCAGCTACTTGGGAGGCTGAGGTGGGTGAATCGCTTGAACCTGGGAGTCGGAGGTTGCAGTGAGCCAAGATTGTGTTACTGCACTCCAGCCTGGACAACAGAGTGAGACCCTGTCTCAAAAAATAAAAAGTATACAAAGTGATGGGTGGGGCAGGGGGTTGTTTTTGTTTTAAGAGACAGGCTCTGGCCAGGCTGGAGTGCAGTGGCGCTATCATAGCTCATTGCAGCCTCAAACTCCTGGGGGCTCAACCCATCCTCCCACTTCAGCCTCCTGAGTAGCTGAGACTATAGGTATTTGCCACCATGCCCAGCTAATTTTTAATTTTTTGTAGAAACAGCGTCTTATGTTGCCCAGGCTGGTCTCGAACTCCTGGCCTCAAGTGATCCTCCTGTAATCAGTAGAACGGTGCAGCTGCTCGCCACTTGTAAAAAGAAGCCAATATAATAAGAGTGAAGTGTGATAAAGAGAGTGAGTTTTATTATCCATGCTAGCAAGGGGAGAAGTGAGTGTAGTTATTTGCAAATATTTCCACTCTTCAATTTGTGGAGGGAATCCAGGAGCTTTTGAAGAGAGAGTTTGGAGTGCAGAAGAGGCAGCGGAACTAGGAGTTGTCGGGTGGCGTGACCTGCTCCACTGGCTTGTTTTGAAGTATTGTTTCATCTGGTGAAGGAGCCAGTGCCATCATGGTGGCTAGAGATATCTGGTCCATATCCAGATCCAGTCCCTGAAGCTGAAGGAAATATATGACCAGGTAATGGTGTGTACTTAACAAGCATCTAGGTAAATACATGTGCATAAGGCACAGAAGCACAGAATGGGAAAAGAAAGGGCGTGGAGGTTCAGCACATTCTGAGGGTGTATTTCAAGATGAAAGGAAACTCATATGCAGATGGTCTCAGAGTTCTATCTTGAGACTCACTGGGGGAGGAGAAAGGGGGAAAGGAAAAAAAAGTCTTAAGGTTTGAGGCTAAGCTGCTAACCTGCTTAGTTACACTCCCACCTTGGCCTCTCAAAGTGCTGGGATTATAGGCATGAACCACTGTGCCAACCCAACATAGTGTTTTGATATGTGTATATTAACACACTGTGAAAGGATTCACAGGTAATTAACCAGGTAATTCCAGGTAATTAACCTATCCATCACCTCACACTTTTTTTTTTTTTTTCTTGTGGTGAGGACACTTGTCTTAGTCTCTTCAACTGCTGTAACAAGATGTGTTAGACTGGGTAATTTATAAACAACAGAAATGTATTGCTCACAGTTTTGGAAGCTAGGAAATCCAAGATCAAGGCACCCACAGATCTGGTGTCTGGTGAGGGCCTGTTCCTCATAGATGGCACCATCTTGTGTCCTACCTAGTGGAAAGAGCAAGGCAGCTCTCTTCAACCTGTTTTATAAGGGCACCAATCCCATTAATGAGGGTTCCACCCTCATGACAGTCACTTCCCAAATGCCTCGTGATGTGTGTGTGTGTGTCTGTGTATGTGTGTGTGTGTGTATCTCAGGGGCTCCAGGCCTCAATACAATGGGTATAACAACAATCCCATCTTGTTGGGAGGAATTAACAATCATGCATCGAGCCCTGGGCCTCAGGCTTCAATGTATTAGTTATTAGAGCTAATCATTATTTAATGTTTTAAACACCCCCAAGGAAGTAGAGAACATTCCTGTCACATTCTGCAGAAAAAGAAATTGAGGCAAGGGGCAAAGCCATTTGCCAAGGTCATAGATCCTGCAAGCCAATGGCAAGGCAGGATCTGAACCTGGGGCTTCAGATCCTGGGGCTTTACCTGATTAAATACCAAGAGAGAGTGCTGAGATTTTTTTGGTGGTGGACAGTCCCTGAGGCAAGCCATTTTTAGAGCATCTGGGCCACTTGGGGAATTGAATCTTTACCAGGGCTTCCCACCTCCTGTTGCCCCTTCTCTGAAGGTGACCCCCCTCCCACAGTAGCACCCCAACCACTCAGAACCCCCAAGCCACCTTCTTTGCACATGCTGAAGCTAATATTGCCCTCCACTCCACCCCAACATCAGGGACCCTGGCCCAAGCCCTTCCCTGGGAGCCCTTCCTCCTCTCATGAGGCCTCCTTCCCAGCCCCTCAGAACAGCCTCCTTTATGAGAGTGGCCAAGATCCCACTGAAACCTTCCCTATCAACTTTATAAAATTAATCAGGGGAGAAGGGAGGGGCGAAATGGAAATCAGCCCAGCTTGCAGCACACACAGCATTGGTCATGAGGTCAGCTGCTCTCTGACCCACTTGCTCAGAGTTGTTTGCTGCCTGTTGCTCCAGAGTCACATAGACCCTGTCACAAGGTCATAGTTCCCCTTCACTGCTCATAGATAACAACTGGAACATTATAAAACGTTAACTTTTCCATTTGAGATATTCTTTCAGGTCCTGCGTAGCAATGAAACTGAGGCAGGATAGGTACTTAAGGGAGTGACCGTGTTCTCAGGATGCAGCGACCATGGCACCCATACAGTCAACACAGTGAGCCTCAGCATTCGCATTGTCATTGCGCTCATTCAAGCAAAGCTGTCTTCATTAGGGAATTTCCCCCATAGACAGCATGAGCATTTTGATTTTACCTGTCCTCAAACTGACATTTTGCTCATTATAATAGTAGAAGACAGCCCTACATGGAGATGTAATATGCTAATGAGACATGTGACATATGAACAAGCATGTACAGCTACTGTGCATGTGCACCCAGAAGACCACCCGGAACATGCTTACTAGCAACACCTCTTCCCACCACCTTATGAATAATCATGTAAGACTCCCATAAAGGGAGTCTCCCTACTGCCAGTCTCTGCTGTCTCACCCTTATGAGCAGCCTGCCTTGAACCCTCTCTCTCACGGTATACAGTCCATTCTGCATGTAACTTCCAAAATATTCTTTTTCCTTTGCAATAAATTACTCTATGCTGCACTTCTTTCGCTGTGTGTCTCATTTAAATTCTTTTAAACCAGATGACAAAAACCGAGCTGTCATATCAGCCACCAATGAAACTGCTGATTCCAGCTTCTCTGAAGGACCCCACAGGAACTCACTCACTAAAGAATGCAGTTTTGGCTGCGCGCGGTGGCTCACACCTATAATCCCAGCACTTTGGGAGGCCGAGGCGGGCGGATCACGAGGTCAGGAGTTCAAGACCAGCCTGGCCAACATAGTGAAACACCGTCTGTACTAAAAATACAAAAATTAGCCGAGTGTGGTGGCATGTGCCTGTAGTCCCACCTACTTGGAGGTTGAGAGGCTGAGGCAGGAGAATCACTTGAACCCGGGAGGCAGAGGTTACAGTGAGCTGAGATCGTGCCATTGCACTCCAGCCTAGGTGACAGAGTGAGACTCCGTCTCAAAAAAAAAAAAAAAAGAATGCAGTTTCCACCTCCTGAAAATTTAATCCCCTTTACCCCAACCAATCAATAAGCCCAATTTTCTAGCCCTTTACCCTCCATGATCCCTTTAAAAACCCTGTTATAGGTAGTTACATAGAGCTGAGCAGGGAAGGAGAGGGCTTTTCTCCCTCACTCACTAGGAATGTCAGGTGATGGTTCGACAGTTACCACGTTGCCTCTCTAAACTGAAAATTGGCGGTTGGTGCCAGAGCGCCAGAGTGAGACAATCTCCTGATGATCCACAGCTGTTAACATTAAAGTGTTAATTGAATGCAGGTGCCAGGGAGAAGCAACTTCCTGGGCACGTGCATTAAGAGACAAAATGGCAGGCCAGGCGCGGTGGCTCACGCCTGTAATCCCAGCACTTTGGGAGGCTGAGGTGGATGGGTCACCTGAGGTCAGGAGTTCGAGACCAGCCTGACCAACATGGTGAAACCCCGTCTCTACTAAAAATACAAAAATTAGCCGGGTGTGGTGGTGCGCACCTGTAGTCCCAGCTACTCAGGAGGCTGAGGCAGGAGAATCGCTCGAACCCCGGGAGGCCGAGGTTGCAGTGAGCTGAGACCACGCCATTGCACTCCAGCCTGGGCAACAAGAGTAAATCTCCGTCTAAAAAAAAAAACAGACAAAATGGCTATGTATGACCTTTCCAGGACACTCCACTGGAAAAGGGAAGAAAGCCTCAGATGGGCATGTATACAACTTCCTACACACACTGTGCATGCTCACTTCCGAAAGGTAAAGAGAGCACAGAGCATGAGGGCAGCTCACCCTCAGAGAAGAATCATGAGAAAGAGGCGAGCCTATAAAGTCCTAGGATCACAGTTAAACGGGGCTCTTGACCTTCAGGTGCCCGGTCAGGTCTCTTCCAAGTGAACTTTCCTTTCTTTCATGTCCTAAAGACTTTTTAAATAAACTTCCACTCTGCTCTGAAACTCACCTCCATCTCTTTTTCTGCCTTATGCCCCTCAGTCAAATTCTTTCTTCTGAGGAGGCAAGAACTGAAGTTGCTGCAGACCTGTACAGATTCGCCACCAGTAACTCAGACACCTTCCACTGGTAACAACCCCAGCCCAGAATTCTTCAAGGAGATGGATTTGAGGGTCTCCTCCCATCTCCTTGCTAGGTGCCCTGTGATCATGAAGCTCTTTCTGTGCTGCAAACCCTGCTGTCTCAGTGTAATTGGTCTGTAACAGCAGAGTGGGCATTCTGCAGCCTCTTCCTTGCCCGGGGCCTGTTGGGAGCCCCCAGCACTGCCTGTACCATCATAAACCCACCCTGGCCCCTTTCCCAGGCTCCAAGCTCAGAGGAGGCAGAGGCTTCATTCTAAACTACAGCATCCCCTCCCTAATCCTCATTTGCCTTCTCCTTCTGAGCTTGGGCCCCATTTTTTGAGACCCTACCAGCCCCCATTCCCACAATCCCCTGTGCCGACACAAATCAACCTCCCCATGTCCCAACCAATGTCAACCCCAATTTAGACCAGTGCATCCCACAGCTATTCTAGCACCCCATAAACACTCCAGTGTCCCCCACTTCCTGATCCCGTAACACCTTGGGCCCTCCAGATAACCCGCTGCTCCAGCCTGGCAGTTTGTCAACCCCCTCACCCAGACCCCCAACACCTCATGCCTGTCTTATGCCATGAGTCTGAGGCCCCTGACCTGGGTGCCACCCAGGCCTGTCTGTGTGGGCAGCTCCCCCACCAGCTCCCTTCCATCCCCCATGGGCCTTATCCCGGGTTTCTTACACCCATGCACACACTATCCAGCATTCCTGACTCCCACTGTTCCTGTCTCACGACCTGGCCACCTTGTCTCGCTCATCTGCCATAGCCCCTGCCTGGCCCAGCAGGACAGGCCTAGGTCAGGGCAAGGTCACAGGTCAGCACCAGGGCTGGTGCTCCACCCCCTAGGACACAAGCCTCCTGCTCAGGACACTTTCTGGGGTCCTGTGCCTCCCCTTCTTCTCCCCCAGGTGCCAAGTCCCCACTTTTTAATACTATCGCATTGAGGCTGGGCATGGTGGCTCACACCTGTAATCCCAGCACTTTGGGAGGCTGAGGTGGGCGGATTACCTGGGCTAAGGAGTTCAAGACCAGCCTGGGCAACATGGTGAGACCCCGTCTCTACTAAAAATCCAAAAAATAATTAGCCGGGCTTGGTAGCACTCGACTGTAATCCCAGCTACGGGGGAGGCTGAGGCATGAGAGTCACTTGGAACCCAGGAGGTGGAGGTCCAATGAGCCGGGATCGCACCACTGCATTCCAGCCTGGGCAACTGAGCAGGACTAGAACCCCAAAAAAATTAAAATAAAAAAGTACTATCACATTGGGTATTAGGTTTGTTAAATAAAAATCATTGCTGTGGAGGATACACTGGGAAGGGAATGAAAAAAAAAAGTATAGGAGACCACTGTTTTGTCTTTTTCTTTTTTTTTTTTTTTTTGAGATAAGAGTCTTGCTCTGTCCCCTAGGCTGGAGTGCAGCAGCGCAATCTCGGCTACTTGGGAGGCTGAGGCAGGAAGGAGAACTGCTTGAACCTGGGAGGTGGAGGCTGCAGTGAGCCAAGGTGGCACAACTGCACTCCAGTCTGGGCGACAGAGTGAGACTCTGTCGCAAAAAAAAAAACCAAAAAAAAAAAAAACGTAAACTGCCAAACCAGTATGATTTCTTTTCTTATGGAAAACATTTATTTTTTATTTTTACTTAAAAATTTTTTAGGCTGGGCACAGTGGCTCAGGCCTGTAATCCCAGCACTTTGGGAGGCCGAGGCGAGTGGATCACCTGAGGTCGGGAGTTCAAGACCAGCCTGACCAACATGAAGAAACCCTGTCACTACTAAACATACAAAATTAGCTGGGCATCGTGGCGCATGCCTGTAATCCCAGCTACTCAGGAAGGCTGAGGCAGGAGAATCACTTGAACCCCGGAGGCAGAGTTTGCCGTGAGCCGAGATCACGCCATTGCATTCCAGCCTGGGCAACAAGAGCAAAACTCCGTCTCAAAAAGAAAAAAAAAATTTTTTTTTAGAGGCCAGGCTCAGTGGTTCATGCCTGTAATCCCAGCACTTTGGGAGGCCAACACAGGAGGATCACCTGAGGTCGGGAGTTGGAGACCAGCCTGGCTAACATGGTAAAACCCCGCCTCTACTAAAAATACAAAAAATTAGCCTGGCGTGGTGGCATGCACCTGTAGTTCCAGCTACTTGGGAGGCTGAGACACGAGAATTGCTTGAACCCAGGAGGTGGAGGTTGCAGTGACCCAAGATGCACCACTGCACTGCAGCCTGGGAGACACAGTGACTCTGTCTGAAAAAAAAAAAAAAAAAAATTGTTTTAGGGACAGTCTTGCTCTGATGCCCAGAGCTGGAGTGCATTGGTGTGATCATAGCTCAACTGCAGCCTCAAATTTCTGGGCTCAAGCCATCTTCCCATCCCAGCCTCCCTGAGTAGCTGAGACTGCAGGTATGCACTACCACACCTGGCTAATTTTTTGTAGAGATGGAGTCTTGCTCTGTTGCCCAGGTTGGTTTCAAACTTCTGGTCTCAAGCAGTCTTCCCACCTGGGTCTCCCAAAGTGCTGGCAAAACATTTTCTGTTTTAGTTCCATACTGAAGTCCACAAGTGTTCAATTATTTGTTTGTATTTTTCTCTTAGTTTTATGGGGATATTACCACAAAATATTGAGTTTACTCAATTTCCTCCCTAATATAGAAAAATTAAATGATTCCCTGCCTGGTGTAAAAAAAAACAAAAACAAAAAAAAGATGATTTCTTCAGCCCCACGAACAGCTGCCAGTCATTCTTGGGCATTTTTTCTCTGCATTAGCTTCGGGGTGTCAAGATAGACCGTTGATTGAGCCTACTGACAGGAGTATTTGCATACTTGTTTGGAGATTTATCAAAAATAGGATATATTTTGACACAGACTTCTTGCTCCCCCCGCTCCCCTTTTGGCAACATCCACTTTTTTTTTTTTTGAGACAGAGTCTTGCTCTGTCACCCTAGCTGGAGTGTAGTGATGCCATCTTGGTTCACTGCCACGTCCGCCTCCTGGGTTCAAGCAATCCTCTTGCCTTAGTCTCCCGGGACATTGCTGGGACTACAGACGTGGGCCACCACACCCAGCTAATTTTTGCATTTTTAGTAAAGACGGGGTTTTGCCACATTGGCCAAGCTGGTCTCAAACTCCTGGCCTCAAGTGATCTGCCCGCCTTGGCCTCCCAAAGTGCTAGGATTACAGGAATGAGCCACTGCACCTGGCCCATCCACTTGTTTTTGCTTTATTTCAATACTTATTACTATTCTGATTATCAGTAAAATTTCTGCTAGGAACACAAGTGGATTTAATTTATCTCCCCTGACTTGTTTCCACGGGACCTCCCATTCCCACTTGATTTTGAGGATTGAAGATAAACTGGGAGAGAATTATCTAGCAGCAAAATACTGCTAATGCGCTTAATTATTTTGTTTTCCAACACATATTTTATGTCAAATTGTGTTCAAATCTAAATACAACACAGTCTTCTTAAAGTCAGTCTCCAACTTCCAAATTCCTTAATTTGCCCCATTAATAATCATAACTCCTATTAGACCCACATTTTATTTCTCTCATTTTTTTTTTTTTTTAGACGGAGTTTCGTTCCTGTTGCCCAGGCTAGAGTGCAATGGCACAATCTCGGCTCACTGCAACCTCTGCCTCCTGGGTTCAAGCGATTCTCCTGCCTCAGCCTCTCCAGTATCTGGGATTACAGGGCCGTACCACCACGCCAGCTAATTTTTGTATCTTAGTACAGACAGGGTTTCACCATCTTGGCCAGGCTATTCTCAAACTCCTGACCTCAAGTGATCCGCCCGCTTCAGCCTCCCAAGGTGCTGGGATTACAGGCATGAGCCACCGAGCCCGGCCTATCTCTCTAAATTTTAAAAGCGTCCTTTCCTGCCCTAGATTTCAAAAAGCCATCAGTACCGTCATGTGAAGTTCCTCCGTTACACTCATTGTCAGGTACCTGCTCAGCATGTATTACACTTCTTTTAGGAGAATTCCTGATTTCACTGCCTCTCCCCCTGCAGCTATGGGTTCTAGGGAATGCTAACTCCACCCTGATCCCAGGGGCAATGGTGGCAATCTCCATTTGGTTTAAGCCAACTTCAACATTCGATGACAGGAGAAAATATGTGACTTGGACCTTTCTTAGAAATCTGAATCTTCTCCCTCCTACTCAACATAAGCAAAAAAGGATGAGGCCCCAATTACACTGACAGCCACCTTATGATGTTATTAATGGCAGAGAAGACAGAAAGAAGAGGTTCCTGGTGTCATCATTTAGCCATTGGATCAATCAAATGTTAAGCCAGACCCACTCTTGATTTTCCATCCAATACATTTACTTTTCTTTTTTGTGTTTAATTTAATTAAAAAGTTAAAAAAAAATTAAGGAACAGGGACATGAACCCTGGACCCTCAGATTAAAAGTCTGATGCTCTATCAACTGAGCTATCTGGGTTGTTTACTTTTTTTTTTACGTTTTATATTTTAAAGCAGTTTCAGGTTCATAGCAAAATTGAGCAGAAGGTAGTGATTACCCATATACTCCCTGTGCCCCCCAAAACTTGCATAGTTCCCTTATCTCCACTATCAACATCCCCCACCAGAATGGTACATTTGTTACAATTGATTAACCTTCACTGACATACCATTATCACCCCAAATCTCTAGTTTGCTTTAGGGTTCGTTTGTTCTACATCTACAGTTTTGGACAAATGTATAATGACATGTATCCACCATTACAGTATCATACAGAACAGCTTCACTGCCCTAAAAATTGTTCCAACTATTCATCCCTCCCTCCCCACAATCCCTGGCAACTACTGATCTTTTTACTATCTCCAATACTTTTGCTTTCTCTCTTCCTTCCCTTTTTTCTTTTCTTTTTCCCTTTCCTTTTTTTGAAAGTTTCGCTCTGTCACCGATGCTGTAGTGCAGTGGTATGATCTCAGCTTACTGCAACCTCTGCCTGCCAGGTTCAAGCAATTCTCCTGCCTCAGCCTCCCAGGTAGCTGAGACTACAGGTGCACATCACCATGCCCCACTAATTTTTGTATTGTTAGTGGAGGCGGGTTTCACCATGTTGGACAGGCTCGTCTAGATCTCCCAACCTCAAGCGATCCGCCCAACTCGGCCTCCCACAGCACTGAGATTACAAGTGTGTGCCCCTGTGCCTAGCCTACCTTATATTTCATCAAAAAGCTTTTTTTAAGTAAACTGACATGTATGGCCAGGCACGGCAGGTAGCTCCCACCTATAATCCTGGTGTTTCCAGACTGGTCTTGGTCTCACTGACTTCAACAACGAAGCCACAGACCCTCGCGGAGATGTTACAGTTCTTAAAGGCAGCGTGTCTGGAGATTGTACCTTCTGATGTTCCCATGTGCTCAGAGTTTGTTCCTTCTGGTGGGTTCGTGGTCTTGCTGGCTCAGAAGTGAAGCTGCAAACCTTTGCGGTGAGTGTTACAGCTCTTAAGGCGGCATGTCTGGAGTTGTTCGTTCCTCCTGGTGAGTTCGTGGTCTGGTAGGCTTCAGAAGTGAAGCTGCGGACCTTCGCAATGAGTGTTACAGCTCACAACAGCAGTGCGGGCCCAAAAACTGAGCTACCTTTATTACAAAACTAAATAGAACAAACCTTCCCGCAACGTAGAAAAGAACCCCAACAAGTTGCCACTGCTAGCTCTGGCAGCCTGCTTTTATTCCCTTATCTGGCCCCACCCACATCCTGCTGATTGGCCCATTTTACAGAGAGCCGATTGGTCCGTTTTGACAGGGTGCTGATTGGTTCGTTTACAATCCCTGAGCTAGACACAAAAGTTCTCCACCTCCCCACTAGATTAGCTAGATACAGAGTGCCGATTGGTGTATTCACAAACCCTGAGCTAGACACAGGGTGCTGATTGGTGTGTTTACAATCCCTTAGCTAGACATAAAGATTCTCCAAGTCCCCACCAGACTCAGGAGTCCAGCTGGCTTCACCCAGTGGATGCCGCACGGGGTTCGCAGGTGGAGCTGCCTGCCAGTCCCGCGCCGTGCGCCCGCACTTCTCAGCCCTTGGGCGGTCGATGGGACTGGGCGTTAGTGGAGCAGGGAGCGGAGCTCGTTGAGGAGGCTCGGACCGCGCAGAAGCTCACGGCGGGGGCGGGGGCTCAGGCATGGCGGGCTGCAGGTCCCGAGCCCTGCGCCGCGGGGAGGCAGCTAAGGCCCGCTGAGAAATCGAGCACAGCAGCTGCTGCCCCAGGTGCTAAGCCCCTCACTGCCCGGGGCTTGCGGGCCGGCCGGCCGCTCCAAGTGCGGGGCCGCCGAGCCCACGCCCACCCGGGACTCGCGCTGGCCCGCAAGCCCCGCGGGCAGCCCCGGTTCCCGCCCGCGCCTCTCCCTCCACACCTCCCAGTAAGCTGAGGGAGCCGACTCCGGCCTTGGCCAGCCCAGAAAGGGGCTCCCACAGTGCAGCGGCGGGCTGAAGGGCTCCTCAAGCGCGGCCAGAGTGGGCGCCAAGGCCGAGGAGGCGCCGACAGCGAGCGAGGGCAGCCAGCATGCTGTCACGTATCACTAGCACTTTGGGACTACAGAGGCAGGAGGATAGTTTGTGCTCAGGAGTTCGAGACCAGCCTGGGAAACAGGGTGACACCTCCTCTCTAAAAATAAACATTTAAAAATTAACGTGGCATGGTGGTGCGCTGTCTGTAGTCACAGCTACTCCGAAGGCTGAGACAGGAGGATCACTTGAGCCTGGGAGGTGGAGGCTGCAGTGACCTGTGATCGAGCCACCGCCTTGCAGCCTGGATGACAGAGAGAGACCCTGTCTCAAATACAACAAAAAAGCAGGCCGGGCGCAGCGGCTCACGCCTGTAATCCCTAGCACTTTGGGAGGCCAAGGCGGGAAGATCACTTGAAGTCAGGAGTTCAAGACCAGCCTGGCCAACATGGTGTAACTCCCTCTTTACTAAAAATACAAAAATTAGCGGCATGGTGGCGCGCGCCTGTAATCCCAGGTACTCGGGAGGCTGAGGCAGGAGAATCGCTTGAACCCAGGAGGCGGAGATTGCAGTGAGCCGAAGCGCCACTGCACTCCAGCCTGGGCGACAGAGGAGACTCTGTTTCAAAAAAAAAAAAAGTTAAAAACAAAACCTTCCATGGAGCCCATGAAAGGCTGGAATTTGGCTTGATCTCATTGGCTTTTGGTTTCACCACAAATTGATCATCCAACAACTTTCATTCCAACAACCGAGGGTGGTGTGAGGCAGAGAGGCTTTCTACGGGGTGGGTTGGGCGCCACACCTTGCGCGCCCCGGGGCCCAAGGAGACGACCCTGAAGAGGAGCCTGGCTACTTTTGCCTCAGACGAGTCCGGAGCGCCGGGTTAACCGGTCTGAAGTCCCAGGGGCTTTCTGGGACTGCTCAGCCACCGGCAGCTTCCGGCACCAGGGGACGCCGGACGCCGTCCGGACATTCGGCGCGCTTGCCACGATCTTGGACGGGTCTCGGGCCTCGACCTTTGAATTCCCCGCTCCGGCTCCAAGATGTCAGCAACGCTGATCCTGGAGCCCCCAGGCCGCTGCTGCTGGAACGAGCCGGTGCGCATTGCCGTGCGCGGCCTGGCCCCGGAGCAGCGGGTTACGCTGCGCGCGTCCCTGCGCGACGAGAAGGGCGCGCTCTTCCGGGCCCACGCGCGCTACTGCGCCGACGCCCGCGGCGAGCTGGACCTGGAGCGCGCACCCGCGCTGGGCGGCAGCTTCGCGGGACTCGAGCCCATGGGGCTGCTCTGGGCCCTGGAACCCGAGAAGCCTTTTTGGCGCTTCCTGAAGCGGGACGTACAGATTCCTTTTGTCGTGGAGTTGGAGGTGCTGGACGGCCACGACCCCGAGCCTGGACGGCTGCTGTGCCAGGCGCAGCACGAGCGCCACTTCCTCCCGCCAGGGGTGCGGCGCCAGTCGGTGCGAGCGGGCCGGGTGCGCGCCACGCTCTTCCTGCCGCCAGGTGAGCCAGGCTGCTGGCGGGTGGTGTGAGCGTCAGTGGCCTGAGTCTCCGTTTGTTTCCAGTGCTGATTTAGCACTGGTTTGGTTTTGGAGCAAGATCAGAGAAGCTAACATTGACTATGTCAGTGGCCACTCTACCAAAATAGAGGGTTTGGTACCGGGCGTGGTGACTAACGCCTGTAATCCCAGCACTTTGGGAGGCCGAGATGGGCGGATCACTTGAGATCAGGAGTTTGAGACCAGACTGGCCAGCATGGTGAAACGCTGACTCTACCGAAAATACAAAAATTAGTCCAGCCTGGTGGCACACGCCTGTAGTCCCAGCCACTCGGGAGGCTGAGGCACGAGAATCGCTTGAACCTGGGAGATGGAGGTTGCAGTGAGCCGAGATCGCACCACTGCACTCCAGCCTGGGTGACAGAGCGAGACTCCGTCTCAAAAAAAGAAAAAAGAAAAAAAAGGATTTTTTGTTAGGCTGTGTACTACGGTTTTTACTTGCATTCTATCAGTTAGTCTCTATAATATCCCAATGAAGTTGGTATTGTTATTCTGCAGATGAAAAAACAGGTTCAGGTCGTCAGGTACATTATCCACTTTGCTATTAATCACTACCCTACAGATTTCTACAGGCATCAGCCTGACTTGTCTAAGGCAGAATGATGACAGTGAATGAAGCTATTACCATGTCGTCTTCTCTAGTGTTCTAGGCACACTGTCTCTTCTCCACTTCTTCATGTGCTGCTTTATCACAGGTCACACTTCAGACTCCACTGCCTTTCTCACCTAAAACCATCTCTGGGTATTTCTTTTTCTTTCCTCCCTTTCTACATAGACATCTGAAATATCAGTACACTAAAAACCAGAGGGCTGATGCAACAGAACATAAAGTTTTGTTTCAATCTTTTTTCTTTTCTTTCTTTCTTTTTTTTTTTTTTTTTTTTGAGACAGTGTCTGTCTCTGTTGCCCACGCTGGAGTGCAGTGGTGTGGTCACACCTCACTGCAGCCTTGACCTCTGGGGCTCAAGTGATCCTCCCTCCATTGCCTCCCAAGTAGCTAGGACTACAGGCATACACCACCACACTGACTAATTAAAAAAAAAAAAAGATTGTAGAGATGGGGTCTCACTACATTGTCCAGGCTGGTCTTGAACTCCTGGCCTCAAGCAATCCTCCTGCCTTGGCCTCCTAAAGTGCTGAGATTACAAGCATGAACCACAGTGTCCAGCCAGGAAAGCAAATTCTTTAAATTGTATAATGGCTTACATTTATAATATTTTGTTCTCTAGGACCTGGACCCTTCCCAGGGATCATTGACATCTTTGGTATTGGAGGGGGCCTCTTGGAATATCGAGCCAGCCTCCTTGCTGGCCATGGCTTTGCCACGTTGGCTCTAGCTTATTATAACTTTGAAGATCTCCCCAATAACATGGACAACATATCCCTGGAGTACTTCGAAGAAGCCGTATGCTACATGCTTCAACATCCCCAGGTTCTCCTCATGTCCTTTATTTAATCAGTCTCTCTAGAAATATTTCCATAGAGAGTGTAACCTTTACCACGTGCAGAAATGCTGCTCTGTTCCTCTTTCACAAAGATGTCTTCTGGAGACTTCCTTGGCTTAAGGTGCTATTTCCACTTTTTCTGTCAGATGAATTTGTGATATAGAATTAATTGTAAAATCCACATGAGATTTTATTTAGTAATATTAAATATTATCTGTATATTGCAAATTGAATTTCTAATCTACTGTCTTTGCATGCTTGTTTTTAAATTTTAATTTCCTGGTGTCAGAGTATGTTCTCAGATTTTGGTCAGAACTTGTCCACCCCTTTCAGAAGCCAAGAACAAACTTACTTACTCTGAAGTCTTGCTTTGTAATCATTTGCCAATACATATGGCAAATGATCTGATGAATGATTCACATCTTGAAACAACCTGGTTCCACACTATTGGATGCATTGCCACATGAAGACTTCAGTCAGACCTACCTGAATGTGGCCCTGAACTTGATGGGATCTGTGGCTCAGCGGCTCAGCGGCTCAGCATTCTCTAGTGGATAATTCTCTGAAATGCTTATAACCAGTTTCCAAGTTTTTCAGTGATTTTAAGATGTGTTTGCCATGTGTTCAGCCAGATATTCTGCACATGGGAAGAAACTCCCCTGTCAGCTGAGGTTGATTTTCTTGTGGATGATTCCCAGATTAAAGCTAGCAGCATCTCTGTTTGCATTTTAGAAAAATGTTTTTGCATTGGATAAGTTATTTATTTATTTATTTATTTATTTATTTATTTATTTATCTTTTGAGACGGAGTCTCGCTTTGTCACCCAAGCTGGAGCGCAGTGGCGCAATCTCGGCTCACTGCAACCTCCGCCTCCTGGGCTCAAGCAATTCTCCTGCCTCAGCCTCCCAGGTAACTGGGATTAGAGGCGTGCGCCACCACACTCGGCTAATTTTTTTTTGTATTTTTAATAGAGACAGGGTTCTGCCATGTTGGCCAGGCTGGTCTCAAACTCCTGACCTCAAGTGATCCGCCCGCCTCCGCCTCGCAGAGTGTTGGGATTACAGGCATGAGCCACCGCACCCAATCTGGATAAGTTATTGACTCAACTCTCCTCTCTTCTTTTCTTCCAGGTAAAAGGCCCAGGCATTGGGCTTTTGGGCATTTCTCTAGGAGCTGATATTTGTCTCTCAATGGCCTCATTCTTGAAGAATGTCTCAGCCACAGTTTCCATCAATGGATCTGGGATCAGTGGGAACACAGCCATCAACTATAAGCACAGTAGCATTCCACCATTGGGCTATGACCTGAGGAGAATCAAGGTAGCTTTCTCAGGCCTCGTGGACATTGTGGATATAAGGAATGCTCTCGTAGGAGGGTACAAGAACCCCAGCATGATTCCAATAGAGAAGGCCCAGGGGCCCATCCTGCTCATTGTTGGTCAGGATGACCATAACTGGAGAAGTGAGTTGTATGCCCAAACAGTCTCTGAACGGTTACAGGCCCATGGAAAGGAAAAACCCCAGATCATCTGTTACCCTGGGACTGGGCATTACATCGAGCCTCCTTACTTCCCCCTGTGCCCAGCTTCCCTTCACAGATTACTGAACAAACATGTTATATGGGGTGGGGAGCCCAGGGCTCATTCTAAGGCCCAGGAAGATGCCTGGAAGCAAATTCTAGCCTTCTTCTGCAAACACCTGGGAGGTACCCAGAAAACAGCTGTCCCTAAATTGTAATGCATTTGTCTGTTGTTGACATGAGAGATTCAAGATCAGATTCTAGTGTTCAGTAACCCTATGTGAATCAGATGTCTCCTGGATAACATTAAAGCCATGTCTTTGTCATTAATGGTGTATTTTACGTAACTTTGTTGAATAAGCTTTGTCGTTAGTTTTACTAATGTAACTTGCTTGTTGTAGAAGATTAAGAGGCATATGACACATATAAGTGAAAAACATTCCCACCAGTTAACATTTGTGTTTCCTTCTAGATTTTTTTAGTTAATGTTTTGAGTCACAGGTGAGCTTTAAAGCTGGTGACTTTTTCCATCACTATGAAAGAATGGTCACTTAATGTTTGCTGTTCAACCATCAGTAGCAGGGTAGAATTTTCTTTGGCCAGAAACATACAGAGGGGTGTTAATATGAGGAAAGGCAGCTGACCTTTTCATTATAAACGTGAGAGAAGACTCTTTTGACAGGAGGAGATGAGACCTGTCTCTAGAATAGTTAAGTCTGTACTCTCTTCCAAGGGTGAATTACTACGATCTATTTTCCCTCTCACTTCCTCTCTAAGAGCAGACCCTGGGGCCGAGTACAGTGGCTCACACCTGTAATCCCAGTACTTTGGGAAGTCAAGGGGGGCATATTGCTTGAGCTCAGGATTTCATGACCAGCTTAGGCAACATGGCAAAACCCAATCCCTACAAAAATTAGCCAAACATGGTACACACCTGTAGTCCCAGCTACTCGAGACTCAGATGGGACGATTGCTTGAGCCCGGGAGGTCAAGATTGGTGCAGTGAGCCGTGATTGCACCACTGCACTCCAGCCCAGGTAACACAGCGAGACCCCGTTTCAAAAGAAAAAAAAAGAATAGAACTTGGAAAATCGTACTGTGGTAACCCTAGAGGAATCACTCCTTTGTCTCCTTGACATTGACACTACATAGCATTTATTATTATTATTATTATTATTTTTTGAGACAGAGTCACTCTGTTGCCCAGGCTGGAGTGCAGTGGCATGATCTCAGCTCACTGCAACCTCTGCCTCCTGGGTTCAAGCGATTCTCCTGCCTCAGCCTCCCGAGTAGCTGGGATTACAGGCATGTGCCACCATGCCCGGCTAATTTTTGTATTTTTAGTAGAGACAGGGTTTCACTATGTTGGCCAGGCTGGTCTTGAACTCCTGATGTCAAGTGATCCACCTGCCTCGGTCTCCCAAATTGCTGGGATTACAGGCATGAGCCACCGCGCCCAGCTTACATAGCATTTATTAATATAAGCGTATTTGAAAAGATAATGGCTGAGAAATTTCCAAAACTGATGTCAAAGACATCAAGCCACATATTCAAGAAGAATTGTAAATGCCAGGCAGAATAAATACAAAGAAAAACTACGCTTATCACAGTAAAACTGTTTATGGTAATTTTATTTTATTTATTTATTTATTTATTTATTTTTTTGAGATAGAGTCTGGCTCTGTCACCCAGGCTGGAGTGCAATGGCGCAATCTCAGCTCACTGCAAGCTCCGCCTCCCAGGTTCATGCCATTCTCCCTGCCTCAGCCTCCCAAGTAGCTGGGACTACAGGTGCCCGCCACCACGCCTGGCTAATTTTTTGTATTTTTAGTAGAGACAGGGTTTCGCCATGTTAGCCAGGATGGTCTCGATCTCCTGACCTCGTGATCCACCCGCCTCGGCCTCCCAAAGTGCTGGGATTACAGGCGTGAGCCACCATGCCCGGCCATTATTTATTTATTTATTTGAGACAGAGTCTTGCTGTGTTGGCCAGGCTGGGGTGCAGTGGCACGATCTCAGCTCACTGCAACCTCTGTCTCCCGGGTTCAAGTGATCCTCCTGCCTCAGCCTCCCAAGTAGCTCAGACTATAGGCATGTGCCAGCACGCCCAGCTAATTTTTGTATTTCTTTTTCTTTTTTTTTCTTTTTTCTTTTCTTTTTTTTTTTTTTTTTTTTGAGAAGGAGTCTTGCTCTGTAGCCCAGGCTGGAGTGCAATAGCACAATCTCGGCTCACCACAACCTCTGCCTCCCAGGTTCAAGCAATTCTTCTGCCTCAGCCTCTCGAGTAGCTGGGACTACAGGTACCTGCCACCATGCCTGGCTAATTTTTGTATTTTTAGTAGAGACAGGGTTTTACCATATTGGCCAGGCTGGTCTCAAATCCCTGACCTTGTGATCCATCTGCCTCGGCTTCCCAAAGTGCTGGGATTACAGGCATTAGCCACCGCGCCTGGCCTTTTATTTCTTTTGTAGAGATGGGGTTTCGCCATATTGGCCAGGCTGGTCTTTAACTCCTGACCTCAAGTGATCCACCTGCCTCAGCCTCCCAAAGTACTGGGATTACAGGTGTGAGCCACTGCACCAGGCTTGTTTATGGTAATTTTAAAACATAGCTGTAAATTCATTGGCATTTCCCTCATCAAAAGATGGGAGACCTGCCGGGTGCAGTGGCTCATGCCTGTAATCCCAGCACTTTGGGAGGCCGAGGTGGGCGGATCATGAGGTCAGGAGATCAAGACCATCCTGGTTAACATGGTGAAACCCCGTCTCTACTAAAAATACAAAAAAAAAAAAAAAAAAAAAACATAGCCGGGTGTGGTGGCAGGCGCCTGTAGTCCCAGCTACTTGGGAGGCCGAGGCAGGAGAATGGTGTGAACCCGGGAGGCAGAACTTGCAGTGAGCCGAGATCATGCCACTGCACTCCAGCCTGGGCGACAGAGCAAGACTCCGTCTCAAAAAAAAAAAAAAAAGAGAGAGATGGGAGACCTATGTCCCCTTCCTTCAAATCTGGATGAACTTGTGACTGTTTCAGTCACTAGAGTAGAGCGGCAGTGACTTTGCAGGCGAGGTCATAGAACGCCGTGAGGATTCTACCGTGTTTGCCAGGAACACCTGCCTTTGGAGCTTGAGCCACTATGTAAGAAGTTTGGGACAGGCGCTGTGGCTCATGCCTGTAATCCCAGCACTTTGAGAGGCTGAGGCAGGCAGATCACCTGAGGTCTAGAGTTTGAGACCAGCCTGATCAACATGGTGAAACCCCATCTCTACTAAAAATACAAAAATTAGGCCAGGCATTGTGGCTTACACCTGTAATCCCAGCACTTCGAGAGGCCAAAGCAGGCGGATCACCTGAGGTCGGGAGTTCGAGACCAGCCTAACCAACATGGTGAAACCCCATCTCTACTAAAAATACAAAAAAGTAGCCAGGTGTGGTGTTGGGTGCCTGTAATCTCAGCTACTCAGGAGGCTGAGGCAGGAGAATCTCCCAAACCTGAGAGGCAGAGGTTGCAATGAGTCAAGATCACACCACTGCACTCCAGCCTGGGCAACACAGCGAGACTGTCTCAAAAAAAAAACAAAAAGAAGTTTGACTACCTTGAGGATGTGATGCTGTGATGCTGTGATGAAGCTTAAAATACATGTATAAGCCAACCACAGGCACTCCTGTGACAGTCCCAACTGTGGTCAGCGTCTCAGTTATCTCAGCCCAAGTGCCAGACATGTGAGTGAAAAACACCTCCAGATCATCCTAGCCCCCAGCCATTTAAATCTCGGTGGAGACTTCACATAACCTCCACTGAGCAGTGATGTCCCTCTCAAGCCCTGTCCAAACTGCAGATTTGTGAGCAAAATAGATTGTTTTTGTTTTATGTGACTATGTTTTCAGGTGTGTTTCAGTTATCTATTGTTGTGTAGCAAACCACCCTAAAACAGCAGCTTAAAACACTAACCATGTATTTTTCTCAAGAGTCTGCAAATGGGACAGGACTGGGTAGGAATGGATCACCACTGTTCGAAGTGACACGGGCTGCGGTAATTTGACTGAGGGGTTGAAACTCAGCCCAAGTAATTAGCAAGAAGGCCCAGATGGAGAGAAATTGAGAACCCCCTAAATCATATCCCTTCCTGAGTTCCCAATTGACAGCCAGCACCAACCTCCCTGCCATAAAAGTAGAGTCTCCAAGAGAGCCTAGCAAGCCTAGCAAGCAATTCTGCATGACCTTTGTTCAGCTTTGTCTTGGAAGCTATTATACATACTATCACTCTCCCATGCTCTATTGAACAAGGCAGTCAAAGGCTAACCAAAGTTCAAGGAGAGCATAGTCTGCCTCTTGAAAGGAGAGTGGCAAGGTTCTGGAGAAGAGCATGTGGAATGGGAAATAATTGTAACCATCTTTGGCAAATACAGTCTGCCTTCTGGCCATACATTCCTCCACATGTAAAATAACACCCATTCCTCTTCTATACCCTCTCCCCCAAAAATCTCATTTCATTATAGCATCGCACTCAGGCTGAAGGTCCAATATTTCATCATCTATATCAGATCCAGGTATAGATGAGGCTCAGAACAGTCCCTTGGGTATAGCTCCTTGAATATCCTTCTTCTCAATCTGAACGGCTTTGAAACAAACAAGTTAGCTATCCTCACAGATGCATGTCCATAATACAATGGTGGGAGAAGTATAAGATAACTCCTATAGACAGTCCTGTTCAAAAATGGGGAAAATGTGGCACACAGCTGTCACTAGCCTGTAGCAACTCTGAAACACACCGGAGAACACGCTGCCAATTCCTTCATTAGTGTTCAATTTACTCTCTGTGAGTTGTTCTCTGTAGCTTTTGGTTCTACCTCCTGAGTTGAAACCTTTATTTTCCATAAGAAAATGAGTTAGCAATTAAATTTAACCTGCCTCCTAGATGGAAAAGGGGAGTTCAAAGTTCTCTTTTAATTTTGTATTCTCTGCCTTTTAAGTTCCAGCTCATAGTGGAACTGGAATTATTCTTCAGCCAGAACAATTTTCTTTTTTTTTCCAAGACGGAGTTTTGCTCTTGTTTCCCAGGCTGGAGTGCAATGGCGTGATCTCAGCTCACTACAACTTCTGCCTCTTGGGTTCAAGCAATTCTCCTGCCTCAGCCTCCCAAGTAGCTGGGATTACAGGCACCCACCACCACACCCGGCTAATTTGTTATGTTTAGTAGAGACAGGGTTTCACCATGTCGGCCAATCTGGTCTCAAACTCCTGACCTCAGGTGATCCACCTGCCTAGGCCTCCTAAAATGCTGGGATTACAGGCATGAGCCACCACGCCCAGCCAGCCAGAACAATTTTCTTAAAAACTTTGTGGGGTTTTCTAAAAATCTCAGTGGGTTTCACTCCACTAGACAAAATACACCTCTAGATATCTGTTTAAGAACTTCTCGGCCAGGCGTGCTGGCTCACGCCTGTAGTCCCAGCACTTTGAGAGGCCAAGGCGGGCGGATCACCTGAGAGGTCAGGAGTTCGAGACCAGCCCGGCCAACATGGCGAAACCCCATCTCTACTAAAAATACAAAAATTAGCCAGGTGTGGTGGTGCGTGCCTGTAATCCCAGCTACTCAGGAGGCTGAGGCAGGAGAATTGCTTGAACCCAGGAGATGGAAATTGCAGTAAGCCGAGATTGTACCACTGCACTCCAGCCTGGATGACAGAGTGAGACTCTGTCTCCAAAAAAAAGAAAATGACAATTAAATGAAATATTTTTGTAAGTGTTTAAATGACCCATCAGGTAAATGTACCTGAAGCTTTGACTGTCTTCCCAAAAATATGGATTTGACAAACCAAACATTGGTTATAAACTACTTTAGCAGGTCAGTGTGGTGGCTCATGCCTGTAATCCCAGCACTTTGGGAGGCTGAGGCGGACAGATCACTTGAGGTCAGGAGTTCGAGACCAGCTTGGCCAACGTGGTGAAACCCTATCTCTACTAAAAATACAAAAATTAGCTGGGCATGGTGGCGCACGCCTGTAATCCCCACAACTTGGGAGGCTAAAACAGGAGAATTGCTGGAACCTGGGAGGCGGAGATTGCAGTGAGCTGAGATCGCGCCACTGCATTCCAGCCTGGGCAACAGAGTGAGACTCTGTCTCAAAAAAGAACTACTTTAGCAATTTATAAGTCAGCAAACCAATATGTATTTAAATTGGATCATTTTGTCTTTTCCATGATGAGTCATAGAAACCATAACCTTTAATAACAAAACCTTTAGGGACTCAGGAAAGACAAGGCAGCCATCCTGGTTCTCCATGAGTCCATGCTTAACATTGGACTTATGTCCTCTTGAATACCAGTTATTTCTCTAATTTAGGTGCATAGCACTGATAACCAATGGGTTTTTACAGATAATTTATCTTAGACCATGGAATTCAAATGATTTTAAATAGTAATAGTTAAAACACTTCTGACAAGGAGAGCTGGTTATTTCTGTGGTCTACAATAACAACATAATTATGCTTTTTTTTTTTTAATCTTATTTCATTTTTTTGAGACGGAGTCTAAATCTGTTGCCCAGGCTGGAGTGCAGTGGTGTAATCTCGGCTCACCACAACCTCCACCTCCTGAGTTCAAGCGATTCTCCTGCCTCAGCCTCCTAAGTAGCTGGGACTACAGGCACGGGCCACCGTGCCTGGCTAATTTTCGTATTTTCAGTAGAGACGAGGTTTCACTATGTTGGCCAGGTTGGTCTTGAACTCCTGACCTTGTGATCCGCCCGCCTCGGCCTCCCAAAGTGCTGGGATTACAGGCATGAGCCACTGCACCTGGCCTAACAACATAATTATGTGTTGGGAGCCAAAAAGGTCAAAGGGATCATGACCAACCTAGCATTCCACTGGAGGCTATATGATTTATCATGAATGCAGGATGTGGGCAAACTCGCTTCTGTGCCTGCCCCAGAAGATTTGCTGAGGGCAATCGCTTCCTGGTGCCGAGCTCCTTGAGGTTATTTACTGGGACATCTAGAGAATGCAGTCTTACAAGACTACTGTAGACCAAGCAGCTGGTCCCTTCTTCCACCCCGCTTCTCACTATCTTTTTTGCCTAATAAATACAGAGGGCTGTGTAAAGCTCAGGGCCCTTGTCCACTAGAGGCAAGTTGCCTCCTGACTCCTTCTTCCAAACATATTCTTTTGTCTCTTTATTCCCGCGTTCTCCCCGCTTTGTTCAGTCCCCCAGGGATCCTGGCAGGCTACAATTATGATTGATACCATATACTCAGATGTATTAGAACGTAGAAATTCCATACAATTTTGGAACATATATTAATATCATTCACTAAAATATAACTTGAAGAAGAGTAAATCTTTTTTTTATTTTGACAATGCTTCCCATGTAACTAACCACGTCAAATAATCCTGTTTACCTCTCTTTTAAATGCTTCAGGGGCCCTCTGTAGCATCTCAAATTTAGAGATGAGAAAAGACAATTCTGAGGCTGAAATTTGATTTTGGGAAGCCTGTTAAATATGTTAAAGGTTTACAAAAATGTACATTCCCATGCCTTCTTACAATCTTTTACCAAAAACACATTTTACTCTCCTCACACACCTTGCATGTAAAACTATTTTTAGTAGTCTTAATTGTATGTTACAATGATGACTCTTAGCAATTTTTAATTTTAATGTAAAACCTGGTAACTTATTTTAATTATGTACTAGGTACAAATATGGTCTGACTCTTTCCAGCACAGCTGGGGGCGTGGTTAATTCCATATGTCCCCAGGCCTTACCAAGCTGTAAAGCAGGCAAGTTGAACTATTTTCAAAAGCCAAAGAAGCAGTTTATGACCTTAAATAATTTGGCAAACCTAATATTTGAACGTAATTTAGAACACGTTTACATTTTGAAGACATTTGCATTTTACCAATAATCTGTTTTTTTTGTTTTTTGTTTTTGTTTTTTTTGAGATGGAGTCTTGCTCTGTCGCCAGGCTGGAATGCAGTGGCACATTCTCGGCTCACTGTAACCTCTGCCTTCTGGGTTCAAGTGATTCTCCAGCCTCAGCCTCCCGAGTAGCTGGGACCACAGGCGCATGCTACCATGCCCTGCTAATTTTTGTATTTTTAGTATAGACAGGGTTTCACCATGTTAGCCAGGATGGTCTCGATCTCCTGACCTCATGATCCACCCACCTCAGCCTCCCATATTTTACTAATAATCTTTAAAACTGCTTTTATTTCCCAAAGACTACTAAAGTCACATGAACTAAAAGGCATTATAGTTTTTTTCTTTCAAAACATTTGATCGAAGTGCTTATTTTTCTTTTCTTTTCTTTTTTTTTTTTAGACGGAGTCTTGCTCTGTTGCCAGGTTGGAGTGCAGTGGTGCAATCTTGGCTCACTGCAGCCTCTTCCTCCCAGGTTCAAGCGATTCTTCTGCCTCAGTCTCCTGAGTAACTGGGACTACAGGTGCGCAGCACCACACCCAGCTAATTTTTGTATTTTTAGTAGAGACAGGGTTTCACCATTTTGGCCAGGATGGTCCAGATCTCTTGACCTCATGATGTGCCTGCCTTGGCCTCCCAAAGTGCTGGGATTACAGGTGTGAGCCACCATGGCCGGCAGGTGCTTATTCTTCTTTAAGCCAATTAATCAGAGTCCTTTTATGCAAACATCACACACATAACACATATATACAACTACACAAACAGACAGAAGAAAATCCAGTAGTTGTAAGATTTTTCATTTGCTAATTTCTTTTTTTTTTTTTTTTTTGAGATGGAGTCTCGCTCTATAACCCAGGCTGGACTGCAGTGGCTCAATCTCAGCTCACTGCCACCTCCACTTTCTCGGTTCAAGCAATTCTCCTGCCTCAGCCTCCCAAGTAGCTGGGACTACAGGCGCCTGCCACCATGCCTGGCTAATTTTTGTAATTTTAGTAGAGATAGGGCTTCACCATGTTGGCCAGGCTGGTCTCAAACTCCTGACCTCAAGTCATCCACCCACCTCGGCCTCTGAAAATGCTGGGATTACAGGCATGAGCCACTGCACCTGGCCCAGTTTCTTGTTTTTTTGTTTTGTTTTGTTTTGTTTTCTGAGCTGGAGTCTTGCTCTGTTGCCCAGGCTGGAGTGCAATGGTGTGATCTCAGCTCACTTCAACCTGCGCTTCCCAGATTCAAGTGATTCTGCTGCCTCAACCTCCCAAGTAGCTGGGACTACAGGCATGCGCCACCACACCTGGCTAATTTTTTTGTATTTTTAGTAGAGAAGGGGTTTCAACATGTTGGTCAGGTTGGTCTCGAACTCCTGACCTCAAATGATCCACCAGCCTTGGCCTCCCAAGTGCTGGGATTACAGGCGAGAGCCACCATGCCCAGCTAGCCAGTTTCTTAATTGGATTACTGGCCTCAGGGTGGAGCCCTTCAAGAAACAGGGGCAAGGAAAACATGCAGTTTCTAAGGTCTAATAAGCAGGCACAGCTGGAAGACAAAAACAGATTTTGAGAGGGATCTATCCACTTTTAATTCTTGGGGTTTCATAAGGAAAACAGAGGGTTTCCCAAAACAGGGTCTTGTGGCACCTCCTGTTTTTCCCAATGAGTCCCAGGCTACCAGAAGTTATCTTAGTGCTTCTCATGTGTGCATAAGAGTGGCAAGACAAAACGGAGAAAAATAATTCAGTTAACTGAGAAGAAAAAAAAAAAACCTTTTTCCAGCAAAACAAGATCCAAGAAGAAAAAAAAACATAAGGGCCCTTTAGATATATCTATAGTTTGGATATCCACTTTCAATTAAGCTGACTTTTAACCATAGTGCTCTTTTAAAAAAAGTCCTTTTAAATGTCTTATTACCCGACTCTAGCCATGCAAGATTGAAACTGCCTTTGCAAAATTATGACTGAGACAGTGAAAGAGATCTAACTTAACCGACTCCACCTTGCTTCTAACCTCCAAGCTGTCCTTGTTCATTCCTTGGTGTAGGCTGAACTAACTTTGGGAGGAACTTAGTTTATAGGTTATAGTTTAAAACAAAGATGATAACAGCCCTTTCCCAAAAACAAACCTCCTCGCCTGGGAACTAGACTACTGACATCAACCACAAGATTAGAAATCATGGTTTAGGAATCATGCAGCTGGAGGCTGTAAGATTCTTTTTTTTTTTTTTTTTTTTTTTTTTTTTTTTGAGATGTAGTCTCACTCTGTTGCCCAGGCTAGAGTGCAGTGGTGCAATCTTGGCTCACTGCAACCTCCATCTCCTGGGCTCAAGCAGTTCTCCTACCTCAGCCTCCCAAGTAGCTGGGATTACAGGTGCCTGCCACCATGCCCAGCTAATTTTTGCATTTTTAGTAGAGACAGGGTTTCACCACATTGGCCAGGCTGGTCTTGAATTCCTGACCTCAGGTGATCTACCCACCTTGGCCTCCCAAAGTACTGGGATTACAGGCATGAGCCACAGTGCCTGGCTGGGGGCTACAAGATTCTAACCCTCCCTAAACTGTTCCTAAGATCAGTGCTTGAGATACTTTGCAGACCCTACACTTCAGGGATCAGCTGGCATCACCCAGATCGATTAACCGGCTCATCGGATCTTGTGGCCCCCACCTAGGAACTGACTCAGTGCAAAAGAACAGCTTCAATTCCCTGTGATTTCATCTCCTACCTAACCAATCAGCACTCCCGGCTCACTGGCTTCCCACCACCCACCAAGTTGTCCATAAAAACTGTAATCCTCCCTGACGTCGGGAGTTCAAGACCAGCCTGACCAACATGGAGAAAACCCGTCTCTACTAAAAATACAAAATTATCCAGCCATGATGGTGCATGCCTGTAATCCCAGCTACTCGGGAGGCTGAGGCAGGAGAATCACTTGAACTCAGGAGGTGGAGGTTGCGGTAAGCCGAGATCCTGCCATTGCACTCCAGCCTGGGCAACAAGAATGAAACTCTGTCTCAAAAAGAAACAAACAAACAAAACAAAACAAAAAAAAAAAAAACTGTGATCCTCAAACACTCGGGGAGACTGATTTGAGTAATAATAAAACTCCAGTCTCCCACACAGCTGGCTCTGTGTGAATTACTCTTTCTCTATTGCAAATCTTGAGAAATAGGGTCTATCTAGCAGTGGCCAAGGTGAACCCATTTGGTGGTTACAAAATCAGCTCTCTCTAGGAAGCAGGCAAGGTGAACCCATTGGGTGGTTACAAAACTGCCAATATGTCTGGCTTTTGAGCCTTACCAAAGGTAACCTCCCAGGTGCACAGAGAAAGGAAAATTCAAAATGATTCATGGAGGGGAAGAGAATCAACAAATGGTAAACATCACTCAGATATCAAACCAATCAGGACTCCTTCCCTGAGCCCGGAATTGAACCTAGGCCACTGTGCGAGAGATCACACAGTGATCTTAGCTACTGAGCTACAGCACTGGGCAGTCTTCATTCACCTTCCCAGAAGGAGTCTAGAGTAGTTGATTCTGAGCTTGCAAAGGCTTTTAACTACTCAATAATTTTTAGAGCTAACTATAACATGATCCCCCAAATTTCTGTTCACTGGAAGGTGGAGACCAAGAGGAAGTACCATCTTGTGGTTACAACGTCAAGCTCTCAAGGTCATAAAACAAGATGGAGGCCAGGCACTGTGGCTCACGCCTGTAATCCCAGCACTTTGGGAGGCCGAGGTGGGTGGATCACGAAGCCAGGAATTTGAGACCAGCCTGGCCAACATGGTGAAACCCTGTCTCTACTAAAAATACAAAAATTAGCTGGGTGTCATGGCACGTGCCTATGATCCCAGCTACTCGGGAGGCTGACGCAGGAGAATTGCTTGAACCTGGGAAGCAGAGGTTGCAGTGAGCCAAGATTGCACCACTGCACTCCAGTCTGGGTGACAGAGAGAGACTCAGTCTCAAAAAAATAAAAAAAGAAAGAAATGTCCTGAACTGTACCTTGGCCCCTTTTAGCCAGGGCTGGAGTGGCTGGGACACAGGGCACCAAGTCACAAGGCTGCACACAGCAGGAGGGCTCTGGACCCAGACCAAGAAATCATTTTTCCCTTCTAGGCCTCCAGGCCTGTGATGGGAGGGGCTGCCATGAAGGTCTGTGACATGCCCTGGAGACATTTCCCCATTGTCTTGGTGATTATCATTAGGCTCCTTGTTACTTATGCAAGTCTCTGCAGCCGGCTTGATTTTCTCCCCAGAAAATAGGGTTTTCTTTTCTTTTCTTTCTTTTTTTTTTGGAGGAAGACTTTCGCTCTTGTCACCCAGGCTGGAGTGCAATGGAGCGATCTGGGCTCACTGCAACCTCTGCCTCCTGGGTTCAAGCAATTCTCCTGCCTCAGCCTCCCAAGTAGCTGGGATTACAGGCATGCACCACCACGCCTGGCTAATTTTTGTATTATTAGTAGAGATGGGGTTTCACCATGTTTGCCAGGCTGGTCTCGAACTCCTGAACTCAGGTGATCCACCCACCTCGGCCTCCCAAAGTGCTGGGATTATAGGCATGAGCCACCATGCCCAGCGGGGTTTTCTTTTTTCTTTTGAGATAGAGTCTTGCTCTGTTGCCCAGGCTGAAGTACAGTGGTGCAATCTTGACTCACTGCAAGCTCCGCCTCCTGGGTTCAAGCGATTCGCCTGCCTCAGCCTCCCGAGTAGCTGGGATTACAGGCGCCTGCCACTGTGCCTGCCTAATTTTTGTACTTTTAGTAGAGATGGGGTTTCACCATCTTGGCCAGGCTGATCTTAACCTCCTGACCTTGTGACCCACCTGCCTTGGCCTCCCAAAGTGCTGGGATTACAGGCATGAGCCACTGTGCCCCGCCAGGGTTTTTCTTTTCTATAGCATAGTCAGTCTGCAAATTTTCCAAACTTTTATGCTCTGCTTCCTCTTGAACGCTTTGCTGCTTACATATTTCTTCTGCCAGTTACCCTAAATCATCTCTTTCAAGTTCAAACTTCCACAGATCTCTGGGGCAGGGGCAAAATGCCACCAGCCTCTTTGCATAGCAAGAGTGACCTTTACTTCAGTTCCCAACAAGTTCCCCATCTCCATCTGAGACCACCTCAGCCTGGACTTCATTGTTCATATCACTATCAGCATTTTGGTGAAAGCCATTTAATGAGCCTCTAGGAAGTTCCAAACTTTCTCACATCTTTCTGTCTTCTGAGCCCTCCAAGTCTCTAGGCAGTTCTAAACTTTCCCACGCTTTCCTGTCTTCTTCTGAGCCCTCTAAACGGTGCCAACTGCTGCCTGTTACCCAGTTCCAAAGTCGCTTCCACATTTTTGGGTATCTTTACAGCAGTGCCCCACTCTCTGTGATACTAACTTACTGTATTAGTCTGTTCTCACACTGCTAATAAAGACCTACCTGAGATGGGATAATTTACGAAGGAAAGAGATTTAATTGACTCACAGTTCAGCATGGCTGAGGAGGCCTCAGGAAACTTACAATCATGGCAGAAGGGGAAGCAAACATGTCCTTCACATGGCGGCAACAAAAAGTGCTGAGCAAAAGGGGGAAAGCCTTTATAAAACCATCAGATCGCATGAGAACTCACTCACTATCACCAGAACAGCATGAGACTAACCACCCCCATGATTCAATTTCCTCCCACCAGGTCCCTCCCAGGACATATGGGGATTATGGGAACTATAATTCAAGATGAGATTTGGGTGGGGACACAGCCAAACCATATCAGGTGTAATGCTAACCCTCTGTGTACAGGTTTTGTGAACGATATTGATTGTATGGGGGAGACTGAGCTCATGTCACTATGCCATCAATGAGAATTGGCTGGTGAATACCAATCCTCCATAGCCATGACTGGGTTGCTGAATAAAATGATGCAGTGTGCATCCAAAAGCTGCCTCTTCCTCTGTGGGTGATCTGGGAGTGAGCCAAACATGGGATGGACAATGTCATACCTGGAAAGCTGGCAGATGATGGGATCCTGGACATTGGGCATGCTGGGGGTGCTCCTGCATATCACCCCTGGGTACAAGAAACATCATTGGGCCAGTAGTCTAAAAGTATGCACCATGCTTATTAGGAACCTGCCAGGTCGTGGCTGATTCTAGGTTTAGGTCCTCTATGAAATTTTTGGTACCATATATAGGAGTCAGTGCTCATGAAAAAAATGATAAGAAAACTGTGCCTGATATTGCTGCTTCCAGTGCCACTGCCTTGGCAGCACAGGGACATCCTTCAACTCCCTTGGGAAGGTTGTTCTATTATTTATTTTATTTTATTTTATTTTTGAGACAGAATCTCGCTCTGTTACCCAGGCTGGAATGCAGTGGTGCGATCTCGGCTCACCACAACCTCTGCCTCCCGGGTTCAAGCAATTCTCCTGCCTCAGCCTCCCGAGTAGCTGGGACTACAGGCACGCACCACCATGCCTGGCTAATTTTTGTATTTTTAGTAGAGACGGGGTTTCACCATGTTGGCCAGACTGGTCTCAAACTCCTGACCTCGTGATCCACCCGCCTCAGCCTCCCAAAGTGCTGAGATTACAGGCATGAGCCACCGCGCCTGGCCAGGTTGTTTTAAACAACAGAATTCCTCTACCCTTTTTTTTTTTAGACTAATTGGGAGGAGTGTGTGCCACTGCCAACACCTCCTGGTGTACCTGGATAAACACCTCAGGCATGGTGGAGACATAGGTAGAGGATCTGGAAGCAGGCCTACTGGTTGCAGTCAGAGTGGCTACCTAAAGAATCTTTCTTGGACCTCAAAACTTCTTGCCTGGATCACTAGGACTTGGGGGTAGGCCACAGCTCCAAGCAAGCCTGATCATCCTGCTTATTATAGTAGTCTCCTGGGCCTAATGCAATATATTCCGGCCATGGCTTAACAATGTTGCACCGAGATTGTTTCAGTCAAGTGTCGCTTTTTTTTTTTTTTCTTTTAGAGGGAGTCTTGCTCTGTCGCTCAGGCTGGAGAGCAGTGGCGAGATCTCGGCTCACTGCAATCACCACCTCCCGGGTTCAAGCAATTCTCCTGCCGCCGCCTTCTGAATAGCTGGGATTACAGGCGCGTGCTGCCACGTTCAGCTAATTTTTGTATTTTTAGTAGAGACAGGGTTTCACCATGTTGGCCAGGCTGGTCTCAAACTCCTGACCCCAAGTCATCCGCCCCCCTCGGCCTCCCAAAGTGCTGGGATTACAGGCATTAGCCACCGTGCCCGACCAAGGTGCCATATTAATATGATCAGACAAACCTCTGCCTCCAGATCCTGGGGGTCTGGAGGGCATATGAAATGTACTAGGTTTACTAAAGGAGGTATCTGGGTTGGGGATGGACTGCAGGGCAGTTCTCTGGTTGGCCTTGGACTGACTCAGTTCTCCCCTCTTTCTCACTAGTAGTTCTCAAGCATAGAACGTGCTGGGAATGTAACATCCTGAGAGAGGGACGGACTGGCTGGAATAGCCCTGGCTCTATTCCAGCCCCTCCCTACAAACAGGATGTCTTTCAATGCTTTAACCCAGCAGTCACATGACCCCAGAGTACAAAACTCAGGGCAGCTGCAGTGCAAGTGGGGCACACACACATGAGATTCCATCACCCAGGCAGCATTCCTGAGCCTTGGGGGACTGGTTTCCAATGATTCTTAGGCTTCTGTCATTCTTTGCTGCCTATCTGTAAGTAATAAATCCAGTTCATGTAAATTGTTGTATTAAATATATGAATGTGTTTTCTCACTGGACTCAGACAAGTTGGTAACCAGCATACAGTGAACTTGCTTCATAGAGTCTAATACCTTTTTGTTCAGTTTATACATGTTTACTGAGCTGGGCATCACTATATGCTCTTCTTCCTTCTCCACCCTGCTATGTTCCCAGCTAGGTTGAGCTGTGTGGTTGGGTTTGGCCAAAGAGAGGCATTAGCAAGATACTGAAAAACAAGAGGAGAGTCAAGGGACTTATAGTCTCCTCCTTCCTGCCACAAACCATAGGTTCCTTCTAAAAAAGGTACAACTCCTATCAGACTGCCCCCTTCCCTTGAACCTTCAGATTCAGGGTTCTACACCGAATCTTGTTTCATTGTTTTTGTTTTTAAATCTTGCCCATGCCTTTGTAGATAGTACCTTTATAAAACTCTCCTCAATTACACAGGCTGAGAGTGCCACTTGCTTACTGCCAGAACTCTGTATGCATACAACCCAAAATGGACTCTGCCAGTGATTAGATTTGTGAGGTAAGAAACAAAACAAAACTTTCACTGGGTACTAACCTACAGGTGTGTCAGTGTAGTGTTTTTACACATTAGCCCATTTAATGGTCACAATAAGCCTTTTCAGATAAGAAAACTGAATTTAGAGGGTTATGTTTCTTGCTAAAGATCACCAGGTATTAATATTAAGGATCAGGGTCAGACCAGAACTCGGCTAGGTCTGCCTCCCTAAACATCTGCTTTGCTCCAGGTACCATTAGCCCTGGAAAAAAGGCTTGGTAAGGGACTGAGGGGTAAAGGACGGATTACGACCATGTTTCTCCAAGGGGTCACCTGAGTACAATCACCTGGGATGCTTTTTCAAAATCTAGATTCTTGGACTGTATCTCTCTCAATCCTTTAGCTCTCAGTGGTTTTTGTGCCTCTATTTCGACACTCACCACATTGGATTGCAGGAATAGTCATTAACTCTTTTTTTTTTTTTTTAGACGGAGTTTTGCCCTTGTTGCCTAGGCTGGAGTACAATGGTGCAATCTTGGCTCAATGCAACCTCTGCCTCCTGGGTTCAAGCAATTCTTCTGCCTCAGCCTCCCAAGTAGCCGGGATTACAGGCATGCGCCACCACACCTGGCTATTTTGTATTTTCAGTAGAGATGAGGTTTCACTCTGTTGGTCAGGCTGGTCTTGAACTCCTAACCTCAGGTGTGATCCACCCACCTCGGCCTCCCAAAGTTCTAGGATCACAGGCGTGATCCACCGCCCCCGGCCGGATTGGTCATTAACTCTTATTTCAGCAGATACTCTTTCATTTGGGACACTGGTGTATTTGCACAAATTCTAGGCGCCCCACGCAGCGGCCTGGAGCCTGTCCCCAAGTCCAACCAATGGGAGTAGTGTTAAGGGCTCCGCCCTCGACTACTTTCCAGCGCTCGGCAAAGCCGCCAGGCCCGCCCACTGACTCCGCGGAGCTGGGTCGCCCCTGTTCTACCCAGATTGGGATGGCAGCGACGCTGATCCTGGAGCCCGCGGGCCGCTGCTGCTGGGACGAGCCGCTGCGCATCGCAGTGCGCGGCCTGGCCCCGGAGCAGCCAGTCACGCTGCGCACGTCCCTGCGCGACGAAGAGGGCGCGCTCTTCCGGGCCCACGCGCGCTACCGTGCCGACGCCCGCGACGAGCTGGACCTGGAGCGCGCGCCCGCGCTGGGAGGCAGCTTCGCGGGGCTCCAGCCCATGGGGCTGCTGTGGGCGTTGGAGCCCGAGAAAGCCTTGGTGCGGCTGGTGAAGCGCGACGTGCGGACGCCCTTCGCCGTGGAGCTGGAAGTGCTGGACGGCCACGACACCGAGCCCGGGCGGCTGCTGTGCCTGGCGCAGAACAAGCGCGACTTTCTCCGGCCGGGGGTGCGGCGCGAGCCGGTGCGCGCGGGCCCGGTGCGCGCCGCGCTCTTCCTGCCGCCGGATGAGTAGTCTGCCCAGAATTTGGTCGAGCTCTGCGACCCCCACCGGCCCCTTTCCTGTCCTGGGAATCGCGTGATTGTGGAACATCCCTGAACTTGTTCCTTCGCTCCAGAGTCTGTCATGGATTCTGAGTCTGGGCGTCCGCTGTTGCCCAGGCTGGAGTGCCGTGGCTGGATCGTAGCTCACACTGCAGCCTCGAACTCCTGGGCTCAAGTCCTCTCGCCTCAGCCTCCTGAGTAGCTACTCCAGTCTTTCCTTTTTAAGTTTCACGTCCCTCCCTGGAGGCACCACCACTTTAGCTATGTGCTGAATAGTGCATTCAACTTATTATATATTTATTGAGAGCCACTATGTGCCAGCCATGTGGTTTTGTTTGAATACGATATGGGCAAAACCTTAAGCTGATGTGCAAGAAGGATTTTTGCCTCCTTTCACATCAAACTTCCAAAGAAGCTAAAATCCACAGTATTGGCAATGCCCTTTAATTGTTTAAAAACACACACAAAACTGCCTGACAGTCCTCTCCCTTCTATCATAAACATGCTGTACGTGGTTCTCAACCTGCAATGATTAGCCGCCCTCCCTGGGGGAAATTTGGCAATATCTGGAGACATTTGTGGTTGTCATATCTGAAGGGAGAGGTGCTATTGGCATCTAGCAGGCAGAGGCCAGAGATGCTGCTAAACATTCCACAATGCACAGGACAACCACCAGAACAAAGAATTATCTTGCTGAAAATGTCTGTACTACTGAGGTTGAGGAACCCTAGTCTAAGTAAACACAGGATGTTTGCTAGGTAAAGGTAGCCCAGAAAGAAGACTCCTGATTAATCCCTTCTAACTAAATTCCTGACTTAAACCTCTACCATATAAAAATGATGAGCCGGGCACAGTGGCTCAGGCCTGTAATCCCAGCACTTTGGGAGGCTGAGGTGGGCAGATCACTTGAGCCCAGGAGTTCAAGACCAGCCTGGGCAACATGGTGAAACTCTGTCTCTACAAAAAAAAAAAAAAAAAAAAAAAAATTAGGCAGGCATGGTGGTGCATGCCTGTAGTCCCAGCTGCTTGGGAGGCTGAGGTGGGAGGATTGTTTGATATCAGGAAGTAGAGGTTGCAGTGAGCTGAGATCACGCCACTGCATTCCAGCCTGGACAACAGAGTGAAACCCTGCCTCAAACAACAACAACAACAACAAATTCTAGAGTTGCAACAGCACATAGAATCCTTAAACCGAATTCTGTGATTATTCTCCAAAACAAGAAAACTTGCTTTATTTTTACAGCTCTTCAGCAATTCTTAGCCTTAACTCGTGGCTGCCCACTGTACTGTGAATTCCTGGGGCTGGAATTGGGTCTTACAGATTTCTAAATATCCATGTTCCTAGAGGCTTTCGCAAGGATATAGTAGGAGCTCAATAAATCATACTGACTGGGCCAGGCGCAGTGGCTCACACCTGTAATCCTAGCACTTTGGGAGGCTGAGGTGGGTGGATCACTTGAGGCCAGGAGTTCAAGACTAGCCTGGCCAACATGGCAAAACCCTACCTCTACTAATTATATAATACAAAAAAATTAGCCAGGCATAGTGGCTCACACATGTAGTCCCAGCTACTAGGGAGGCTGAGGTGGGAGAATCGCTTGAACCCGGGAGGCTGAGGTTGCAGTGAGCCAAGATTGCGCCACTACACTTCAGCCTGGGCGACAGAGCGAGACCCTGTCTCAAAAAAAAAAAAAAAAAAATCACACTGACTAAGAATCAACTAAAACCTTTCATTAAAAACAAACAAGGAGCCGGGCGCAGTGGCTCACGCCTGTAATCCCAGCACTTTGGGAGGCCGAGGCAGGTGGATCACCTGAGGTCAGGAGTTCGAGACCAGCCTGACCAACATGGTGAAACCCCGTCTCTACTAAAAATACAAAAGTTAGCCGGGCATGGTGGTGGGTGCCTGTAATCTCAGGAGGCTGAGGCAGGAGAATCTCTTGAACCCAGGGGGCAGAGGTTGCAGTGAGCCAAGATCGCACCGTTGCACTCCAGCCTGGAGGACAGAGCAAGACTCCATCTCAAAAAAAAAAACAAGGCGGCCAGGCGCGGTGGCTCACGCCTCTAATCCCGGCACTTTGGGAGGCCAAGGTGGGTGGATCACGAGGTCAGGAGTTCAAGACCAGCCTGGCCAAGATGGTGAAACCCTGTCTCTACTAAAAATACAAAAAATTAGCCGGGCATGGTGGCGGGCGCCTGTAATCCCAGCTACTCAGGAGGCTGAGGCAGGAGAATTGCTTGAACCCGGCAGGTGGAGGTTGCAGTGAGCCAAAATCACACCACATCACTCCAGCCTGGGCAACAGAGAGAGACTCTGTCTGATAAAAAAAAAAAAAAAAAAACAAAAAACAAAAAAAACCAGCAACAACGAAAAAAAAAACAAGACTGGGCGCAGTGGCTTACGCCTGTAATCCCAACACTTCGGGAGGCCAAGGTGGGCGGATCATCTGAGGTCAGGAGTTTGAGACCAGCCTCACCAACATGGTGAAACCCCATCTCTACTAAAAATACAAAATTAGCCAGGTGTGGTGGCACATGCCTGTAATACCAACTACTCGGGAGGCTGAGGCAGGAGAATCGCTTGAACCCGGGGGGAGACGGAGGTTGCAGTGAGCCGAGATCGCACCATTGCACTGCAGCCTGGGCAACAAGAGTGAAACCTTGTCTCAACAAACAAACAAACAAACAAACAAACAAACAAACAGGCTGAGTGCAGTGGCTCGCACTTAAAATCCCAGCACTTGAAGAGGCCGAGGTGGGAGCATTGCAGTGGGAGGATTGCTTGAGGCCAGGAGTTTGAGACTAGCCCAGGCAGCATAGTGAGACCCTATTTCTATAAAAAGTTAAAAATTAGCCAAGCATAGGGGCCTAGCTACTTGGGAGGGTGGCTTCTTGAGGCTGGAGGGTCACTTGAGCCCAAGGATTCAAGGTTACAGTGATCTACAGGCTACAGTGCAGTGGTGTGATCACAGGTCACCACAAACTGGAACTCTTGGGCTCAGATGATCCTCCCGCCTCTTCCTCCTGAGTAGCTAAGACTATAGGCAAGTGCCATCATGCCCAGCTAGTTTTTTAAACTTTTTTGTAGAGATGGGTCTTGTTATGTTGCCCAGGCTGGTCGTGAATTCCTGGCCTCAAGTGGTCCTCTTATCTTGACCTCCCAAAGCACTGGGATTATAGGCATGAACCACCACACCTGGCCTCATTATGTTATTTCTAACTTGGTTTATTTTTGTTTGTGAAAATAATATTATTATTATTATTATTTTTGAGATAGAGTCTCACTCTGTCACCCAGGCTGGAGTGCAGTGGTGTGACAATAATTTATATCATTAAAAAGTTTTAGGCCGGTTGCGGTGGCTCACACCTGTAATCGCAGCACTTTGGGAGGCCAAGGTGGGCAGATCACCTGAGGTCAGGAGTTCAAGACCAGCCTGGCCAACATGGCAAAACCCAGTCTCTACTAAAAATACAAAAAAAATTAGCCGGGTGTCTGTTGCATGTCTGTAATTCCAGATACTTGGGGGGCTGAGGCAGGAGAATTGCTTGAACCCAGGGGGCAGAGGTTGCAGTGAGCTGAGATTGCACCACTGCACTTCAGCCTGGGCGACAGAGTGAGACTGTCAAAAAAAAATTTTTTTTTTAATTTCAATACCTTTTGGTGTACAGGTGGTTTGGGGTTACACGGATGAACTGTACAGTGATGAACGCTGAGATTTTAGTGCACCTGTCGCCTGAGTAGTATACATTGTACCCAATATGTAGTTTTTTATCCCTCTATATTATCATTATTGTTTGAGAAAATAAGACATTTTGTTCTTTCTCTGCCAATCTCTCTACCCCCAATCTCCTTGGCTTCAAAAACTTGTTTGCTTACTGTCTTTTGAGAAACTAAAGCTCCCTGTGATTTGTGATGTTCTCCAGGCAGGGGGCCCTTTCCTGGGATCATTGATCTGTTTGGGAGCAGCAGGGGCCTTTGTGAATACAGGGCCAGCCTCCTGGCCGGACATGGTTTTGCTGTGCTTGCCCTGGCTTATTTCAGATTTGAAGACCTCCCCGAAGATCTGAATGATGTACATCTGGAGTACTTTGAAGAAGCCGTGGACTTTATGCTGCAGCATCCAAAGGTGCGTTCTGGTGATCACCTGAGTGCAGAAGAGAGGGGATAGAGCTGATGCAGGGCTGAATCCAAAAGCCCTGCCAGAACACTGAGAACTAGAAACATGCCAGGAGATACCAAGTCTCCTTCAAAGGTTACTAGGGTGGAAGCTGGGCATGGTGATGTGCACCTGTAGTCCCAGCTACCTGGGAGGCTGAGGCCGGGGGATTGCTTGACCCCAGGAGTTCAAGACCAGCCTGGGCAACATTTAGTGAGACCCCTGTCTCAAAAAAAGTTTTTGTACTAGGATTATTATTTCCATTTTCTCCCATCTCTCTCTAATCCCTGAAGACTTGACTATTTAGTTGTCTTTGTAATTGTGGACCAAAATTCAAAGAGCACAGGACTAAAAAAAGTTCCAGCTCTGCATCTACCACAGAGTGGCCTTATGATTCTGAATAAGGCAGTTACTCTCTCTGGAGTTCAATTTTCCTCCTTAATAAGATTAATGTAAATGTATATAGAGAAAATGACTATAAAGAGATATTTTTTGAGACAACTGGAGACATTTGAATGAGAATGGTGTATTTGATTATATGAAGTAATCATTAATTTTGTTGGGTATGATAATGGTATTATGGTTTTGTAAAGAAAGTCCTTATCTGATAACAGAAATAATTAATTAATTAAAACATTTTGGCCAGGTGCGGTGGCTCACGTCTGTAATCCCAGTACTTTGGGAGGCCAAGGCGGGCAGATCACCTGAGGTCAGGAGTTTGAGACCAGCCTGGCCAACATGGTGAAACCCCATCTACTAAAGATACAAAAATTAGCTGGGCATGGTGGTGCACACCTGTAATCCCAGCTACTCGGGAGGCTGAGGCAGGAGAATTGCTCGAACTCAGGAGGCAGAGGTTGCAGTGAGTCGAGATTACACCATTGCACTCTAGACTGGGCAACAAGAATGAAACCCCATCTCAAAAAAAAACCCAACAACAACAACGACAACAAATTTTGGTATAATTAAAAATGGAATTATATATACTCTTTGTTATCATCCAGGTTTAAAGAGATCCAGACATTCTAATGTTAAGATATAAGATGTTCTGCAGGGTTCTCTCCCCCACAACCCCTAGTGCTCTTGGGATCCGGCACCCCAGAATTCTCTGCCAAACAGCTCTGATCCTGCTTCCAGGCCCTAAGCCTCTTTTCTGGGTTCGTCGGTGTATATATACCTAGGCCTTAAACATGCAAGCTGGGGTGTCCACACATATGTGTGAGAGGCCCCTTAAGGTCCACGAAGGAGCCAGTGATGGAAGAGAAGGAGTGTGGTGCAGGGCCCACGGGCTGACCTCTCCCCTATGTCACTTTCCAGTACAGAACTCCAGTGGATTCCAAGATTTTAAATTTGAGCCTGAACTTATGAATTGTTATGGTGGTATATTTATCAAGGCAGGAGAAAATAATATACTGTATTTAACAGTTTGTTCATTTGATTTATAATTTTGAAATATTTAGGTATAGGGTGTCTGGGCCTCTGTGTATACTCCTGACCCAGTCCTCATAAATATTAGGGGATGACCCATTACTAGGAAATCAGTTGATTTGCTTATTAGAAGACATATTTGAACTTTGCAGATTGTTGGATACGGAAGGAAAGCAAATGATAGTTAAGAAAGCTACTGGCGGGGCACGGTGGCTCATGCCTATAATCCCAGCACTTTGGGAGGCCAAGGCAGGCGGATCACTTGAGGTCAGAAGTTTGAGACCAGCTGGCCAACATGGTGAAACCCTGTCTCTACTAAAAATACAAAAATTAGCCGGGCGTGGTGGTGGGCGCCTGTAATCCCAGCTACTCGGGAGGCTGAGGCACGAGAATTGCTTGAACCCGGGAGGTGGAGGTTACAGTGAGCCAAGATTGCACCACTGCACTCCAGCCTGGGTGACAGAGCGAGACTCCATCTCAAAAAAGAAAAAAAAGAGAAAGCTACTTGGAGAATGTAAAATCACTGTCTGTGTCCTCCATTTATGAATTCTAAGCTTGTTTTCCTTCTCTTTTTCCTCAACAGGTGAAAGGTCCTAGTATTGCGCTTCTTGGATTTTCCAAAGGAGGTGACCTGTGTCTCTCAATGGCTTCTTTCTTGAAGGGCATCACAGCCACTGTACTTATCAATGCCTGTGTAGCCAACACAGTAGCTCCTCTACATTACAAGGATATGATTATTCCTAAACTTGTCGATGATCTAGGAAAAGTAAAAATCACTAAGTCAGGATTTCTCACTTTTATGGACACTTGGAGCAATCCACTGGAGGAACACAATCACCAAAGTCTTGTTCCATTGGAAAAGGCGCAGGTGCCCTTCTTGTTTATTGTTGGCATGGATGATCAAAGCTGGAAGAGTGAATTCTATGCTCAGATAGCCTCTGAAAGGCTACAAGCTCATGGGAAAGAAAGACCCCAGATAATCTGTTACCCAGAAACTGGTCACTGTATTGACCCACCTTATTTTCCTCCTTCTAGAGCTTCTGTGCACGCTGTTTTGGGTGAGGCAATATTCTATGGAGGTGAGCCAAAGGCTCACTCAAAGGCACAGGTAGATGCCTGGCAGCAAATTCAAACTTTCTTCCATAAACATCTCAATGGTAAAAAATCTGTCAAGCACAGCAAAATATAACATTGTAGCCACAGACCAGATACCATTAATAAAAATCCTATTCATACAACTTGTGTTGGGTTTTCTTTCTTTCTTTTCTCTTTTTTTTTTTTTTTCCTGTATCACTCTGTCACATAGGCTGGAGTGCAGTGGCATAATCTTGGCTCACTGTAACCTCTGCCTCCCAGGTCCAAGCTGTTCTCCGACCTCAGACTCCCGAGTATCTGGGATTACAGGTGCACACCACGGCACCCAGCTAATTTTTGTATTTTTAGTAGAGACAAGGTTTCGCCATGTTGGCCAGGCTGGTCTTGAACTCCTGCCTCAGGTGATATGCCTACCTCACTCAGCCTCCCAAAGTGCTGGGAATACAGGTGTGAGCAACCACACCCAGCCTGTGTTGGGTTTCCCAGAGCCCGTAGCAACCTTTTTAGTGACAAAGCAACCAGCTCAGCTTTTTTGTCAGGTCCTCCCTGATTCTCAACCTTTGCAACCTGCCTTCCGTCACTGCTAGGTCCACGTAGGCTTAACCTTGATCTTATATGTAGGACCGGTCTTCACCTTAAGCAAGAGAAATGTAAGAAGTGCTTTCCCAACTCAGTTGCTGGCCCAGCTTTGGCCTCGTGTTCCCTTTCTGAGGACTGACCTTTGGTATTGCTCTGGAGTCTCATATCCCCTTTGGCCCTAACTGACCACGTCTGAGTCTTGGGAAACTGCCCACTCGATTGCCTTAAGGAATGGACTCTGCCTCATTCTTTTTTTTTTTGAGACGGAGTCTCGCTTTTGTTGCCCAGGCTGAAGTGCAATGGTACGAGCTCAGCTCACTGCAACCTCCGCCTCCCAGGTTCAAGCGATTCTCCTGCCCCAGCCTTCCGAGTATCTGGGACTACAGGCTCGTGCCACCATGCCCAGCTAATTTGTGTATTTTTAGTAGAGACAGGGTTTCACCATGTTGGCCAGGCTAGTCTCAAACTCCTGATGTCAGGTGATCCACCCACCTCAGCCTCCCAAAGTGCTGGGATTACAGGCCTGAGCCACCACGCCTGGCTCTACCTCATTCTTGCCCATACACATTGCTGAACATTTACTCAAGACTTCTCCCTGGGCCGGGCACGGTGGCTCACGCCTGTAGTCCCAGCACTTGGGAGGCTAAGGCGTGTGGATCACCTGAGGTCAGGAGTTTGAGACCAGCCTGGCCAACATGATGAAATGATGAAACCTAGTGTCTACTAAAAATACAAAAAATTAGCCAGGCAAGGTGGCGGGCACCTGTAATCCCAGCTACTTGGGAGGCTGAGGCAGGAGAATTGCTTGAACTCAGGAGGTGGAGGTTGCAGTGAGCCGAGATCGCGCCACTGCCCTCCAGCCTGGGCAACAAGAGCAAAACTCTGTCTCAAAAAACACTTGTCTCTGAACGCCAGTCTGAAGACCAGGAGCATTATACCTGTGGATATACTTCTTTTACGTTTGCCAGGGGATTCCCAGTCACTATATGGTCATTGCCTGCCTGGAGGAATGCCTTGATGCCAAGATTTTCAGGACAATACCTTGCACGCCATGGCCTTCATCTTTGATGTCATGTTATACCTACCAAATCGGACTTCCTCCCACAACCATCTAGTCCAATTACCCTCCTACTGAGAAGGACTGGGACCTGTCTGCCTCAACCTACTGCAGTATACTGGGCACTATCTAGAGTCATAACAGACCAGAGCAGAGAGTCTTCCTTGAGCATAAGAAAGTTTTTCTGTGATTTCACGGCACATCCCATGATTTTCTGAGTACGTACAAAATCCTTCACCAATTTCAATCTATCCAAGCAAGTGCCCATTAGATCTTAACAATGAAAAGTTCCTTAGAGGTAACTTAATTTTGATCAGTTGTTAAACTCTGTGTTGAGTATAGTCATTCACCTTGTAGTATAATTTTCCTTTCTTTCTTTCTTTTTTTTTTTTTTTTTTTTTTGAGACAGTCTCACTCTGTCATCCTGGCTGGAGTATAGTGGCATGATCATGGCTTACTGCAGCCTCAACCTCCTGGGCTCAAGTGATCTTCTCACCTCAACTTCCCAAGTGACTGGGACTACAGGCATGCACCACCAAACCTGGCTAACTTTTTATTTTTTGTAGAGATGAGGTCTCATTACGTTGCCCGGGCTGGTCTCCAACTCCTGGGCTCAAGCGAACTGCCCCCCTAGGCCTCCCAAAGTGCTGGGATTACAGGCGTGAATCACTGCGCCTGGCCTGTGTAGTATAATTTTCTATGATGTGAATTCTGGGAGCCTATGCTTTAACTCACTCCCAAGTGGACCTGCTACTGTGGAGATGCTCTTGGGGTGGGAGATCACAGGAGGAAGATATGAGGAAAGTGGCAGGGAGGATGAGAAAGCAAAGGCCAAAAAGGTAGTCCCAGAAGTCATGCAGGAGAATGATGACTCCACATCTATATGTATTGAAGAACTAGGGCAAGACAGCCCTAGACCTCGATTTCTTCCTTACAGATAAAGCAACCTAGAAATGGCATACACTGACTGAAGATATTTGCTTGCTTTTCCCTGAGAGGTGACTGTATGTGGCCACCTGTCTCCAATATATATATTTTGACACAGAGTTTCGCTCTTGTTGCCCAGCCTGGAGTTCAGTGGTGCGATCTCGGCTCACCGCAACCTCTGCCTCCTGGGTTCAAGTGATTCTCCTGCCTCAGCTTCCCTAGTAGCTGAGATTATAGGCGCACCACCACACCCGGCTAATTTTGTACTTTTAGTAGAGAAAGGGTTTCTCCATGTTGGTCAGGCTGGTCTCGAACTCCTGACCTCAGGTGATCGCCTGCCTTGGTCTCCCAAAGTGCTGGGATTACAGCCATGAGCCACCGCGCCTGGCTTGAGATTTTTATTTCAAAAAGAATCTCAGGTTGTTATCAAGCCATTTGAAATGCAGTAAAGCAATATGAAGCAGAAGGGAGAAAGAGAAAAGTTATCCATAAAGTTAAGCCAGAAATGAGGCTAATATAATAGTGCTTATTATGGAATCCTATGCCCTTGCCTGGATTGACCACTCATTCAGTCATGTATTTTATAGTGGTTTTTTTGTTTAGTTTTTGTTTTTTTTTGAGACAGAGTTTTGCTCTTGCTGCCTGGGCTGGAGTGCAATGGTGCAACTTCGGCTCACTGCAACATCCGCCTCCCGGGTTCAAGCGATTCTCCTGCCTCAGCCTCCCTGTAGCTGGGAATACAGGCATGCACCACCATGCCCGGCTAATTTTGTATTTTTTTTAGTAGAGATGGGGCTTCACCATGTTGGTCAGGCTGATCTTGAACTCCTGAGTTCAGGTGATCCGCCCACCTCAGCCTCCCAAAGTGCTGGGATTACAGGCATGAGCCACCACGCCTGGCCTTATAGTGGTTTACGCAAAGAAGGAGACCTAATTAGTTACACAAAATTTACAACTTTCATAAAATAAAAGCCAAACTTAGAAATCAGTTTCTTCCAAAGATAGTCATACTAAGAAACATTACGTGATATAAAGGGTAGTGTTATAGTTTAGATGTTGTCCTCTCCAAATCCCATGTTGAAACTTGATCCCCAGGTGGGCATGGTGGCTCATGCCTGTAAGCCCAACACTTTGAGAGGCCCAGGTAGGAGGATTGCTCAAGGCCAGGAGTTTGAGACCAGCTTGAGCAAAGTAGCAAGACCCTGTTTCTACTAAAAATGTTTTTAAAATTAACCAGGTATGGTAATGAGCACCTGTAGTCCCAGCTACTTGGGAGGCTGAAGCAGGAGGATTGGTTGAGCCCAGGAATTCTCGCTATGATGATGGCACTGCATTCCAGCCTAGGTGACAGAGCAAGATCCTGTCTCTAAAAAATAAAGAGAAATTTGCATCCCAATGTTGGAGGTGGGGCCTAATGGGTGGTGTTTGGGTCATGAGGGCCAACCCCTCAGGAATGTCTTGGTGCAGTCCTCTCTGTGAGTTCCCACAAGAGTTCCCCTGAGAGCTGGTTGTGAAAAAGAGCCTGGCACTTCCTTCCCCTCTTTCCTGCTTCTCTCTCGCCATGTGATCTGCACACGCTAGGCCTCTGTCCCTTCTGCAGTGAGTGGAAGCAGTCTCAGGCCCTCACCACAAGCAGATGCTGGCACTGTGCTTCTTGTACAGCCTGCAGAACCGTGAGCCAAATAAACCTCTTTTTGGCCAGGGCCAGTGGCTCATGCCTGTAATCCCAACATTTTGGGAGCCTGAGGTGGGAGGATTGCTTGGGACCTGGAGTTTAAGACCAGCCTAGACAACATAGTGAAACCCTGTTTCTACAAATATATATATTTTTTGATACGGCATCTTGCTCTGTTGCCCAGGCTGGAGTGCAGTGGTGCAATCTCGGCTCACTGCAACCTCCACCTCCCAGATTCAAGTGATTCTCCTACCTCAGCATCCCGAGTAGCTGAGATTACAGGCACACACCACCACACCCAGCTAATCTTTTTGTATTTTTTTTAAGTAGGGATGGGGTTTCGCCATGTTGCCCAGGCTGGTCTCAAACTCCTAACCTCAGGTGATCCACCTGCCTCGGGCTTCCAAATTGCTGGGATTACAGGCATGAGCCAACGCGCCCCGCCCAAAAAAATTTTTTTAAATAAAAATTAGCCGGGTGCAGTGGTACCCACTTGTAGTCCCATCTACTCAGGATGCTGAGGTGGGAGGATAACTTTAGTGTAGGAGGACAAGGCTACAGTGAACCATGATCACACCACTGCACTCCATCCAGCCTGGGTGACAGAGAAAGACTGCTCCCCTCTACCCCAACAAAAAAAACCCTCTTTTTAGTAACTCTTCTTTATAGCAACACAAATGCACTAAGACAGGTAATATTTTCAAGGATGCTTCTACAGCAGACGTAAATCCCAGCCTAATCCAGGCTCACACAGTTTAGTAAGTAGTGCAGCCTGGGGTTTCTGTCTATATGCCTCATCTATGAAATGGGCGTAATAATAGTAACTACTTCATGGGGCTATTGTGATTAAATTAGATAATCTGTGTAAAGTACTTAACATATTTTAATTTTCAAATACAGGTATACTTTGTTTTATTGGGCTTTGCTTTATTAAATTTTCCACAAGTTAAAGGTCTGTGACAACCCTGTGTCAAGAGAGTCTATCAGCACCATTTTCAACAGCATGTGCTCACTTTGTGTCTCTGTGTCACATCTGGTAATTCTTACAATATTACGGTCTTTTCATTATTTTATTTATTTATTTATTTATTTATGAGATGGAGTCTTGCTCTGTTGCCAGGCTGGAGTGCAGTGGTGTGATCTCGGCTCACTGCAACCTCCGCCTCCTGGATTCAAGCGATTCTCCTGCCTCAGCCTCCTGAATGGCTGGGACTTACAGGTGTGCACCACCGCACCCAGCTAATTTTTGTATTTTTAGTAGAGACGGAGTTTCACCATGTTGGCCAGGGTGGTCTCGATCTCTTGACCTCATGATCCACCCGCCTTGGCCTCTCAAAGTGCTGGGATTACAGGTGTGAGCCACCGCGCCCAGCCTATTTTATTTATTTTATTTTTTAGACAGAGTTTCACTCTTGTTGCCCAGGCTGGAGTGCAGTGGCACGATCTCGACTCACAGCAACCTCCGCCTCCCAGGTTCAAGCAATTCTACTGCCTCAGCCTCCCAAGTAGCTGGGATTACAGGTGCATGCCACCATGCTCAGCTAATTTTTGTATTTTTAGTAGAGACGAGGTTTCACCATTTGACCAGGCTGGTCTCGAACTCCTGACCTTAGGTGATCCACCAGCCTCGGCCTCCCAAAGTGCTGGGATTACAGGCGTGAGCCACCACATCTAGCCTTTTTCATTATTATTATATCTGTTACGGTGATCTTTGATGTTACTACTGTAATTGTTTTGGGGCTCCCAGAACTGCACCCACATAAGATGGTGAACTTAATAAATGTTGTGTGTGTTCTGACTGCTCCACCAACTGGCCTTTCCCATCTGTTTCCCTCTCCTCAGGCCTCCCTATTCCCTGAGACAAAACAATATTGGAATTATGCCAGTTAATAACCCTACAATGGCCTCTAAGTGTTCAAGTGAAAGGAAGAGTCTCGGGTCTCTCACTTTAAATCAAAAGCTAGAAATGATGAAGCATAGAGAAAGCCAAGATAGGCTGAAAGCCAGGCCTCTTCCCCTAAGCAGTTAGCCAAGTTGTGAGTGCAAAGGAAAAGTTCTTGAAGGCAATTAAAAGTCCTACTTAAGTGAACACAGTAAAACATCCTTATGGCTGATTTGGAGAAAGTTTTAGTGGTCTGGATAGAAGATCAAACTAGCCACAACATTCCCTTAAGCTAAACAGCAGGGGTGTCCAATCTTTTGGTTTTCCTAGGCCACATTGGAAGAAGAAGAATTGTCTTGGGTCACACATAATATACAACAACGCTAATAATAGCTGATGAGCTTTAAGAAAATCGCAAAAAAAATCTCATAATGTTTTAAAAAAGTTTACAATTTTGTGTTGGGCCACATTCAAAGCCATCCTGGGCTGCATGGAGTTCACAAGCTGTAGGGTGGACAAGCTTAAGCTAAAGCCCAATCCAGAGCAAGGCCCTAATTCTCTTCAATTCTATGAAGGCTGGGAGAAGTTAGGAAGCTGCAGTAGAAAAGTTTAAAGCTAGCATATGTTGGCTTATTAAATTTAAGGAAAGAAGCCATCTCCATAATGTTAAAGTGCAAGTTTGCCAGGTGTGATGGTTCATGCCTGTAGTCACAGCTACTCTGGAGGCTGAGGAAGAAGGATCACTTGAGCCCAGAGGTTCAAAACCAGCCTGGGCAACATAGTGAGACCCTGTCTTAAAAAAAAAAAGTTCAAGGTGAAGCAGCAAACTCTGATGTAGAAGCTGCAGCAAGTTATCCAGAAGACCTAGCTGAGATAACTGATGAAGGTGGCTACACTAAACCACTAAACAACAGACAAACAGCCTTTTTTTTTTTTTTTTTTTTTTTTTTGAGACAGAGTTTTGCTATTGTTGCCCAGGCTAGAGTGCAATGGTACGATCTCAGCTCACGGCAACCTCTGCCTCCAAGTGATTCTCCTGCCTTAGCCCCCTAGGTAGCTGGGATTACAGGTATGCGCCACCACACCCCACTAATTTTTGTATTTTTAGTAGAGACAGGGTTTAGCCAAGTTGGTCAGGCTGGTCTCAAACTCCTGACCTCAGGTGATCCACCCGCCTCGGCCTCCTGAAGTGCTGGGATTACAGGTGTGAGCCACCATGCCCAGCCAAAACAGCCTTTTATTGGGAGAACTGCACCAGGCATAGACTTCTCCTCACTAGCTGTGAAAGTCCCAGTCATCTAGGACTTTCATAGTTAGTAAGGAGAAGTCTATCCCTGGTGCAATTCTCTCACTCAACGCAACAATCAACACAGAATACTTCTGTGACCAAATGTGGGAGGTTTCTCCCCACACACCAGGCAGGCAAACAGTTCTGCAGCAGACACCAGCTGGGTGTCCTCCAATTCAACTCTGACACAGTCTACCTGGAAATAACATCAGATCCCACAGGTTGAGGAGTAGGTCCCACAAGACCAGTCTCTTCCCACCAGTCTTAAGTCTAGGTTTTCAGAACTTCTGACTAACTGGCTTCACGTTGGGGTTCCAATGACCTCCTTGTTGGGTTTGATTTGCTGGAGTGACTCACAGAACTTGGGAAACACTTACTTCCACTTACTGGTTTACTATAAAGGATATTACAAGTGACACCGATAAGGAGATGTATAGGGAGAAAAGACACAGAGCTTCCATGTCCTCCCGGGCATGTCACTCTCCAGGAACCTCCATGTGTTCAGCTATCCAGAAGATCTCTGAACCCATTTCTGGGTTTTTATGGAAGCCTCATCATCTAGGCACGATTGATTAAATCATTGCCCATTGGTGATCAGCTTAACCCTAACGCTTTCCCTCCTCCCCAGGTTTGGTAGGTTTACAGTGGGGCTGAAAGTCCCAACAATTTTTTTTTTTTTTGAGACGGAATCTTACTCTCTGTTGCCTAGGCTGGAGGGCAGTGTTGTTCACTGCAACTTCCGTCTCCTGGATTCAAGTGATTCTCCTGCCTCAGCCTCCTGAGTAGCTGGGATTACAGGTGGGTGCCACCAAGCCTGGCTAATTTTTATATTTTTAGTAGAGACGGAGTCTTGCTATGTTAGCCAGGCTAGTCTCGAACTCCTGACCTCAAGTGATCTGCCCGCCTTGGCCTCCCAAAGTGCTGGGATTACAGGCGTGAGCCACTGTGTCTGGCTTTCAATTCTTTAATCCTGCCTTGGTGTTTCTGGTGACCAGCCCCCATACTGAAGCTACCTAGGGGCTGCCAGCCATTAATCAACTCATTAGCACACAAAAGACAACACGTTGGAGATTCTAAATCTTTTAGGAGTTGTATGTCACAAAACAAGATTACGACCAAATATATATTTCACAATATCACATAGTCATTTTTTTTAATTTAAAGAAAATTGATAGAGATGGGATCTTGCTAGGTTGGCCAGGTTGGTCTTGAACTCAGCCTCAAGCAATCCTCCCATCTCAGCCTCCCAAAATACTAGGATTACAGGCATGAGCCACTGTGCCCAGCCCATAGTCTTAGTTTTAAAAATTGCCACAGCCTCTGGGTGTGGTGGCTCACACCTGTAATCCCAGCACTTTGGGAGGCCGAGGCGGGCGGATCATCTGAGGTCAAGAGTTTGAGACCAGCCTGACCAACATGGAGAAACTCTGTCTCTACTAAAAATACAAAATTAGCCAGGAGTGGTGGCGCATGCCTGTAATCCCACCTACTTGGGAGGCTGAGGTAGGAGAATCACTTGAACCCGGGAGGTGGAGGTTTCAGTGAGCTGAGATCGGGCCATTGCACTGCAGCCTGGGCAACAAGAGTGAAACTCCATCTCAAAAAAAAAAAAAAATTTGCCACAGCAGTGGCTCATGCCGGTAATCCTAGCATTTTGGGAAGCCGAGGCTGGTGGATGACCGGAGGTCAGGAGTTTGAGACCAGCCTGGTCAACATGGTGAAACCCCCGTCTCTACTAAAAATACAAAAAAGTTACCCGGGCATAGTGGTGGGCGCCTGTAATCCCACCTACTTGGGAGGCTGAGGCAGGAGAATTCCCTGTACCTGGGAGGTGGAGGTTGCAGTGAGCCGAGATAACGCCACTGCACTTCAGCCTGAGCAACAAGAGCGAGAGTATGTTCCCAAAAAAAAAAAAAGAAAGAAAAAAAAATTGCCACAGCCACACCAACCTTCTGCAACCACCACCCTAGTGAGTCTGTGGCCTTCAAATGGAGGCAAAAATATCAGCAAAAAGATTACGACCCACTGAAGTCTCAGATAATCATTAGCATTATTTAGCAGAGGTGTGTTTTTTCATTAAGGTATGTACTTTTTTTAAACATAATGCTATGGCAACTTAATAGACTACAGTATATTATACACCTTTTATATGCACTGGGAAACCAAACATTCATGTGACTCACTTTATTGTGATATGTGCTTTATTGCAGTGGTCTGGAAGCAAATCTGCAATATCTCCCAGGTATCCCTGTATTAACAATTATTATTTCAGATAAGGAAATGGAGATCCAAGAGAAGAAACATGCCTGGTTAGTGGGAGAGCTAAGTCAGTCCAAGGCCAAAGCCCATGCCTTCACTGACCACTTGGCTCTAGTGCCTTCCAGCTTGAGGAGAGACTGGAAGAGTGCAGAGCTGCATGAAGGGGACTATAAGAAAGTTAATGGTATGTTAGGGTCACATGATGTAGCTTCACAACCCAAGGTGGAAAGTTTAGATTTTTTTTTTTTTTGAGATGGAGTCTCACTCTGTTGCCCAGGCTGGAGTGCAGTGGTGCAATCTCAGCTCACTGCAAGCTCTGCCTCCCGGGTTCACGCCATTCTCCTGCCTCAGCCTCCCAAGTAGCTGGGACTACAGGCACCCGCCACCAAGCCCGGCTAATTTTTTTGTATTTTTTTAGTAGAGACGGGGTTTCACCGTGTTAGCCAGGATGGTTTGGATCTCCTGACTTTGAGATCCGCCCTCCTCGGCCTCCCAAAGTGCTGGGATTACAGACGTGAACCACCACACCCGGCCCCAGATTACTTATTTCTTATCATTTTAAATTGGCTCCACCGCATTCCAGCTTGGGCGACAGAGCAAGACACCATCTCAAAAAAAATAAAAAATAAAAAACAAAAAAATTTAAAAAAAAAAGAAATATGATTGGACAAAAAGGGTACGTGGTGTCCTAATTAGACAAAGGGAGTCAGGCTGGTGGGAGCAGGGGAAAGCAAAAAGAAGACGCAGATAAGCTACCAGTCTGCCTTTCTTCATGGTCCAGGACACAGCCCTCCTGCACAAATAACTGATAATCTTCCTCCGCCCAACTATCACCAGACCCCTCCAAGTTAGCTCACTGCAACCTTGGTGTTATCGCTACTGCACAAATCCCTCTTCAACAGACAGCATAAACATTATTCTATAAAGTCCCCAGCAAGCCTTTGTTTCTTTGCAGTCAACTTCTCTTCTGCTGGCCTGCCTGTTGCAACGTTCTCGCAACGTATTTTCCTACTTTCTCTAATAAATCTGCCTTTCTTTACCTACAACTGTCTTGGTAAATTCTTTTACCCCATGCCACCATAGTGGTTCGCTCCCCCAATAAAATGCTACTAAGCTGAGTGGGGAAACCCAGCAAGGCCTGTCTGTCTAGATTCTTCTTGGCTTCTCTGAGCTTCATTCCTTCCTTCTGGGTGTGGGGCATGCCGGTCCCTCTTTAGAATGGGAATCACGACTTACAGTCAAATAAGGTAGATCAGATCATTTGTTTACAGCCAATTTTTACACAGAAAGGCAGAGGGAAAATTACAGTAATATTTTGAGGTTTTATCACTGGCTTTAGGGAAAAGGAGTTCTGGTTTCTATGATCTGCCTGGAAGAAAAGGGATTCTAGTTTTTATGGCTAGCCTCAGGGAAGAATGGGACTCAGAGCAGGGTGGCAGGAGAAGGGCAAAGAAAAACTTTCCCTTCTGAGGCCTTCATTTTGGGGTATTGTTCTCTGAGCCCCAACAATATTTATGGCGAAAGGACCAAAGACAGGACTTTAACAAGTCCTTGCTTTTCAGAGAAAAGTACCTTGCAGGTACTTACTTTTCAAAGAAAACAGGGTTGTTGGATGGCTCTAAACCAGAAACTCTTGGTCCAATGGCCATGTGTTTTCAGTGGCAAATACATTCTATCCAGAAATATGACACATGACAATTATTTATAGATAAATGGGATAAGATTTGAAAATGGGATTGTTTCTCCCCAAATTTAGGATTTATATACATACCCCTCTTCCTTGACAAGCAGTTTAATAAAATATGTTCACCTGGGTTAATTCACCTCATTTTACACATGCGTTTTAATTAAGATAGAATAGTAGAAAACAATTTTTTTTTTAATTTTTAGAGACCAGGTCTTGCTCTGTCACCCAGGCTGGGGTGCAGTGGTGCAATCCATAGCTCACTGCAACCTCTAACTCCTGGGCTCAAGTGGTCCTCCCACTTCAGCCTCCTGAGTAGCTAGGACAACAGGCATGAGCCACCATGGCCAGCTATTTGAAAAAATGTAGTAGGTGAAGGTAGTGGCGGCCAGGGCTGGGGTCCTGGGAGTCTAGTGGCCGCAAAGGGCATCCCAGAATGTGATGCCACTGGGTGCACAGACAGCCTCCCACATTACCAAGGGCATGCTCCCGGGGCCCTAACCTAAGACCCCAGAAGAACGGGTCGCTGCCACCAAGAAGTATAAATATGTGTGTGGAAGACTACGAGCCTTATTCGAATGACGGCATGGGGTATGGGGACTACCTGAAGCTCCCTGACCACTTATAGCAGAAGAGGGATCTGTGGTATAACTGAGACCACCTGGCCTGAGGTTGAACTGGGGATACACTGGCACCTAGACATGCATATCAGGAACCATGTAGCTATGTCCCCCACACCTGTTTCTTGGAATATCATGTGTATACAGCTCTTCGGCTCTGTGGCTTTCATGATGTTCATGTTCTGGGTGGGGGTGATTTACCCTGTCTACCAGCCCGTGGGACCAAAACAGTGTCCTTGCAATAATCTGTACCTGGAACAAGGTGGCGATCTCTCCAAAGAACCTGAGCCAGTGGTTGACTATGGATACCAGGAGGCTTTGTGGGCTTTTGCGCCCTCTAACTAAGACTCCCTCATTCCTATAAATTTAACCTTAATGAAATCCCTAATAAAACTCAGTGCTGTGGTGGTTTAAAAAAAAAAAAAGAAAAGGAAATTTGTAGAGATGGGGGTCTCGTTATGTTGCCCAGGGTGGTCTTGAACTCCTGGCCTCAAAGTGATCCTTCTGCCTCTGTCTCCCAAAATGCTGGGATTACAGGCATGAGCCACCATGCCTAGCCGGAAAACAAATTTTAAATTACATATATCAATACTTTCTTCACTGTGAAAGATTCAAGTAATACAGATAAAATAAAAGGTCCTCTTAACTCATTACCCAATCTCAGTCTTCTCCCAAGGGTAGTTACTATTACCAGTTTGAAGTGTTTCCTTCCAGAACCATTCCAGAACCATTTTGTATATATATACAAAATACAATATTCATATGTATGAATGAAAAACTATGGTTTTATTTTGTGGGTTCAAGGCCTTTTCTCTCTCTTAAAAAAACAGAAATGTAATATACTTGGCTGGGGGCAGTGGCTCATGCCTGTAATCCCAGCACTTTGGGAGGCCAAGGCAGGGGGATCACCTGAGGTCAGGAGTTCAAGACCAGCCTGGCCAACATGGTGAAACCCCATCTCTACTAAAAATACAAAAATTAGCCAGATGCAGTGGTTTGCGCCTATAATCCCAGCTACTAGGGAGGCTGAGGTAGGAGAATCACTTGAACCCGGGAAGTGGAGGTTGCAGTGAGCCAAGATCACGCCATTGCACTCCAGCCTGGGTGACAGAGTGAGACCCTGTCTCAAAAAAAAAAAAAAAAGAAGAAGAAGAAATGTAATATACTTGTAAGCTTTTCTTCTGCATACAAAAAATATACATTGTTAACACTTGTTCCAGTCCACAGGACAATAGAACTTATTTCCTTAGGGTATATATCTGTAATTCAGCTTTCTCTCTCTCTCTCTCTCTTTTTTTTTTTTTTTGAGATGGGGTCTCATTCTGTCCCCCAAGCTGGAGTGCAATGGCACAATATCGGCTCACTGCAGCCTCCGCCTCCCGGTTTCATGCGATTCTCTCGCCTCAGCCTCCCGAGTAGCTGGGATTACAGGTGCCTGCCACCACGCCTGGCTAATTTTTGAATTTTTAGTAGAGATTTGGTTTCACCATTCTGGCCAGGCTGGTCTCGAACTCCTGACCTCACGTGATCCATCCGCTTCGGCCTCCTAAAGTGCTGGGATTACAGGCGTGAGCCACTGCGGGCTGTCCTGTAGTTCCACTTTCTGAATGAAAAAGCAAAATTTATGCTCCCTCCTGAGCTCATCCCCTATGTCCCCGCTGGGCTCGTTTTAGGTCTTTGCTGGCATTCAAGTTGGGGAAGTGTCTCTCCACCAGTTTCTATTATCAATCCCTACTATTTTATAGTTCAATTCAGTATCTCATCGGAAACGTTTAAACTTTAACTTTGATAGTCTTTCTTAATCCAGGACAAAGATTACTTAAAACGGAGGAAAGGAATTTGTTAGGACCCTAGCACACTTGGCCTCCTTCAATCAGGCTTAGGGAATATTGACCCCTGGTGGCCAGTGAGGAAATTCAGAGGCGGCCAGAGGCCGGCACTTACCGTTAAAAATGCTTAACTTTATTCGCCACACGTCCGGGGTAAACTCGCGAGGGGATCCTACCTCTTCCAGATGGTTCCACACGGGACCTCTAGGAGCTCAAAGGACCCTGGGCCCTCCGAAGTCGTCTCTTCTTGCAGCCCGTTGCTAAGTGGCGCCGCAGGGACCAGCCCAGGTCCCATCACGTGGCCCTGCAGGGTTTTGCCCCACAGGGCCACGACCTGCCAGGCCGGGCCCCCCTCCTCCCTCCTCTTCAGCGCGGAACCTCGGCCGCCAGTGCCAGGCCGCCTCGACCTTGGCGGAGGTCAAAGCCGCGACAGTCCCGGACCATGTGGCCGGCGGTCCGGGCAGCGCTCCGAGCCTCTGGGGTCCCCCTCCAGGCCTGGAGGCCGATATCCACATCGTCCTTTTTCTCCCAAAAGGCCGCGACCCTGACCGTCACGCCCAAGACTGGGCTGGCCGACAAGTGCCTGGATATGAAAGCAGAAGGCTTGGGCTCGGGGGAGCCGGTGACCCTGCAGGTGTCGGGCGTCAGCCACCGAGGCCGCCTCTTCCACTCCCTTGCCCACTACGAGGTGGACAGCGGCGGGGGGCTGGACCTGGCCGGGGACCTGGCTCTAGGAGGCGACTTCACGGGCGTGGGGCCCATGGGGCTCCTGTGGAGCCTCATGCCGGCCGCTTCGAAGGATCCACGCCTCAGTCGAATGCGGAGGGCCGCCTTGAAAAACCCCCTCATAGTGGAGGTGACCATCCACCTAACGCCGCTGCAGCAGGCGGCGCCGCTGAGTCCGGCGCTGGCCTCGGCCCAGGTGCAGCGCTGGTTCTCCATCCCCGAGCTGCGCCGCGCGCCTGCGAGCCGGCCGCCTGCGGGGGGTCTTCCTGCTGCCATCAGGTGCGGGGGCCCTTTTCCGCAGAGTGCCTGACAGCAGAGTGAGGGAATCGACTGGCTTGCTTTGCTAGCTGGTTTGTCATCTGAAAACAAAGCGAGCTCCTTAATCCCTTTATTTTGTCTCCTAGACTTCAAGTGGAACATTCATTCCCCTAGATGGTGGCTAGGATCCAAATTTCATCTGCTTATGCACCTTTCTTCTGCCAGCTGCTCACCCGCCAGAGTCCTAGTGCTGCATACGCTATTCCTTAGGAGCATAGACCCTGCGTGTTTGCTATATTAAGCATAAGATTGCTGCAAAGTTTCTAGCATTAAATGCTTTTGTTTGCTTACAGCAGTCTCAACCTCCTGAGCCCAAGCGATCCTCCCACCTCAGCCTTCAGAGTAGAGTAGCTGGGACAGCAGCCATGTGCCACCCAGGTAAATTTTTTTTTTATTTTTTGTAGAGACAGGGTTTCCCTACGTTGCCCAGCCTGGTCTTGAACTCGTGGGCTCCAGCGATCCTCCCACCTTGGCCTCCCCAAGTGTTGGGATTACAGGTGTGAACCACCACACCCAGCCATCTTTCTTTTTTAAATTCTTATTTTTTTAGAGACTAGGTCTTGCTCTGTCACCCAGGCTGGAGTGCAATGGCATCATGATAGCTTATTGCAGCCTCGACCTTCTGGGCTCAAGTGATCCTTCCACCTCATCTTCTCAAAGTGCTGGGATTACAGGCGTACATGGCCTCATTTTAACCTTTTTGTTTTTTTAGAGATAGGGTCTTGCTATGCTGCCCAGACTGGTCTTGAACTCCTGGCCTTAAGCAGTCCTCCCACCTCAACTTCTCAAAGTACTGGGATTACAGACACACACAACTGAGCCTGGCTTTATTATTATTATTATTATTATTATTATTATTATTATTATTATTATTATTTGAGACAGGGTCTCACTCTGTCACCCTGGCTGGAGTGCAGTGGCACTGTCACGGCTCACTGCAACCTCCCTTCCAGGGCTGAAGCGATTCTCCCACCTCAGCCTCCCAAGTAGCTGGAACTACAGGATCTCACCACTCTGCCCAGCCACTTTTACTTTAATTGGAATAACAAAGGAATATATCTGAAAAATACCAGGAAACAATTGGCCGATAAATTCTTCTCTTGGAATAGTGAAGGAATAAAACATCCCCAACAGGACTGTTGAAAGAGAAATAATAGACCAACGTTGGGAGGATATTAGTTTGACATTTTACTATCTCTTCACACATGTAGTTCATTTTATAGTACACCTTCATTAGACCTTTAAAACAGTTTAATCCCTGTCAAATTATGGATTCTGGTGACTCTGACTATATCTTAAATTTATTGAGAAATCAAAGGGCCCTTTAAATTTGGATGTCTGGGTTTGTTTTTGTTTTTTGATTCTTTGTTTGTTTTTTGAGACGTAGTCTCACTCTGTTGCCCAGGCTAGAGTGCAGTGGTGAGATCTCAGCTCACTGCAACCTCCGTCACCCAAGTTGAAGCGGTTCTCCCACCTCAGCCTCCCGACTAGCTGGGATCACAGGCATGCACCACCACAACCAGCTAGTTTTTTGTATTTTTAGTAGAGATGGGTTTTTGGGGTTTCACCATGATGACCAGGCTGGTCTCGAACTCCCGACCTCAAATGATCTGCTCACCTCGGCCTCCCAAAGTGCTGGGATTACAGGCATGAGCCACTGTACCTGGCTTTAAAAATCTCATGCTAAAAACCAGACATCCAGCCGGATGCAGTGGCTCACGCCTGTAATCTCAGCACTTTGAGAGGCCGAGGCGGGCAGATCACCTGAGGTCAGCAGTTTGAGACCAGCCTGGCCAACGTGTAGTGAAACCCCGTCTCTACTAAAAAATACAAAAATTAGCTGGGCATGGTGGCACACACCTGTAGTCCCAGCTACTTGGGAAGCTGAGGCAGGAGAATCGCTTGAACCTGGCAGGTGGAGGTTGTAGTGAGCTGAGATCGCACCACTGTACCTTAGCCTGGGCAACAGATCAAGACTCCGTCTCTCAAACAAACAAACGAACAAACAAAAGCAGACATCCGGCCAGCACGGTGGCTTACCCCTGTAATCCCAGCACTTTCGGAGGCTGAGGTGGGTGGATCGCCTGAGGTCAGGAGTTCAAGACCAGCCTGGCCAACATGGCAGAAACCTTGTCTCTACAAAAATTAGCAGGGTGCAGTGGGGCACAAGAATTGCTTGAGCCCGGGAGGTGTGGAGGTTGCAGTGAGTCCAGACTATGCCACTGCATTCCAGCCTGGGCTATGGGAGTGAAACCCTGTCTAAAAAAAGAAAAAAAAAAGGAGATTTTTATTCTTACATAACTCAAAGCTTGCAGAACTATTTGCTTAGACTTATCAGGACTTGTACTTCAAACCAAAACACTTCCCATATATTTGGTGCGATTTTTCTTTTTCTTTTTTTCCATTTACCAGTGATTAACTCACAGGGAAAAAAATATAAAAATATTTTTACATTTATAGAATCAAAATAGCTCAAATAAATGTCTATTTCAACCACAATAATAAATCCATTTCCACAAAACAGATGTTTTCTTTTCAAAGCAAGTAGGTAGTTTTTTTAAAAAAAGATAAATTATACAATCTAATTTTCATTTAGAAAATGTTGGCTAGGTAAATGTTCTGTCATCTAACCCAAGATTCATTCCCTTTCCTGGGTTATAGATGATGGTCCTTTTGCTGGTCTCATTGATATATTTGGTGATGGAGGATTAAGTGAATCTTGAGCAAGTCTCCTGGCTTGTTGAGGTTTTGCTACTCTGCTTTGCCATTTTTTGGCTATGAAGATCTACCTCCAGCCATGAAAGACTTAAACTTAGATTACTTTGAAGAGGCAGTTAAATTTGTGCAAAGTCACCCAAAGGTGAGTGGTATGAGAGAAATGAATGAATTACTCCAGAAGAGAGTGAATAAAGGAAGTGTTACTAATGGGTTGGAAAATACCTGCAACAAATACCTGTTGAATTAATAAATAAATACTAGAGCTGTCTGATAACTCTAAAAAACTCATAAAAGACTTTCTGGCCAGGCACAGTGGCTCACGCCTGTAATCCCAGCACTTTGGGAGGCTGAGGTGGGCGGATCATCTGAAGTTGGAAGTTCAAGATCAGCCTGATTAACATGGAGAAACCCCATCTCTACTAAAAATACAAAATTAGCCGGCTTGGTGGAGCATGCCTGTAATCCCAGCTATTTGGGAGGCTGAGGCAGGAAAATTGCTTGAACCTGGGAGGCAGACGTTGCAGTGAGCCCAGATTGCACCATTGCACTCCAGCCTGGGCAACAAGAGCGAAACTCTGTCTCAAAAGAAAAAAAAAAAAAAAAAGGACTTTCCTTTATTGAGGACTTTGGTGATCCCATTAACAATTATGCTTCATTTTTCCTTTGTCTCTTTCCGTGTTTGCCTTCTTTTTCTTCAGTCTGCAGGTCAAAGGTCCAAACATTGCAGTGATTGGCTCAGGCAAAGGGTCAGAGTTGGCATTTTCCATGGCTAGCTTTCTCCCAAATATAGCTGTGGTCGTGACCATCAGTGGCTGCATCTCAAACACAACTACGCCCTACCTGTGGTAGCTTGATCCTGCTAGGACTGCCTTTTAACCTAGACAGAATCTCTGCCACTGATTGAGGAGTATACGGTTAAAGAAGCACTGGAAGACCCCTTGGACAAGCCTATCAAAAAAGCTGTATCCCTCTTAAAAAAGCCAGTGCTGGCTGGGCGCAGTGGCTCACGTCTGTAATCCCAGCACTTTGGGAGGCCGAGGCGGGTGGATTACCTGAGGTCAGGAGTTCGAGACCAACCTGGCCAACATGGTGAAACCCTATCTCTATTAAAAATACAAAAATTAGCCGGGCATGGTGGCACATGCCTGTAATCCCAGCTACTCGGGAGGCTAAGGCAGGAGAATTGCTTGAGCCCAGGAGGCGGAGGTTGCAGTGAGCTGAGATCGTGCCACTGCACTCCAGCCTGGCCTACAGTGCGAGACTCTGTCTCAAAAAAAAAAAAAAAAGAAAGAAAAGAAAAAGAAAAAAAGAAAAAGCCAATGCCCATTTCCTTTTTATTGTTGGAGAGGATAACAAGCGTTGGAAGAGCTCTGTTTATACTGACATAGCTGTGAAGTGTCTCAAAGAACATGGGAAGACAAATTTTACTCTTTTAAGCTATTCCGGTGCTGGCCACAGAATAGATTCCCCCTTACAGTCCTTTTTTCTCTGTAGCCCTGGATCCTGTATTGAGGGTGCCTATTTTGGGAGTGGGGGCAGCTCAAAGCTCATGCTATTGCTCAGATTGAGTCTTGGAAGATCTTGGAGTTTTTGCAGTTGCACTTAGGGTAAAGGCTAACTAGACAATTAAATTTATTCATTTATTTAAGAGGCAGGGGGAGTTTTGCTCTGTTGCCCAGGCTGGTCTTGAACTCCTGGCCTCAAGCAGTCCTCCCGCCTCACCCTTCCAAAGTGCTAGGATTACAGGAATGTGCAGCCTCACTGGGCTAGACACTTAAATTTAGTTATGCTTCAGAGCAAATCCAGAGACAGACTGAATATTTTTATCAAAAAATGACTGAGATCTGAACTTTTCATGGTCATCTGCAAGCTTTTAAAAGAAATAAAAATGCTAAATTCAAGTTCATCACAGCCCGCAGCTTTGGAACTATCCATATTTCTCTATGTTTGGTTTGTTTGAGCTTTATTTCAAGGTAATTGCTAACCGAAAGCCAGCTTTCAAGCTGCCACTTACCCACCTTTCCCACCTACTCTTCCTGCCACCTTCTGTACCTCCAAAGATCTAAAAAACCGGTGTATGACTATTTGTTTGTTGTATCTGTCCCAGAAGTTTTAGATATGTGTTTCTTTCTTTCTTTCTTTTGAGATAGAGTCTTGCTCTGTTGCCCAGGCTGGAGTGCAGTGGCTTGATCTTGGCTTACTGAAACCTCCACCTCCCGAGTTCAAGTGATTCTCCTGCCTCAGCCTCCCAAGTAGCTGGGATTACAGGTGCCTCCCACCATGCCCAGCTAATTTTTGTATTTTAGTAGAGATGGGGTTTCACCATGTTGGCCAGGCTGTTCTCAAACTCCTGACCTCAAATGATCCACTCACTTCAGCCTCCCAAAGTGTTGGGATTACAGGCGTGAGCCATCGCGCCCAGCCGTTTTAGATATGTTTTGACCAGGGGTGAATACATGCATATAGGCCCCTGGTTTTGTGATGAGGAACAACTGGGTTATGATAATTTTCTCATAATAGTCAGAGGCTAGAGTGAATTCTAGTAGGATGACTCAGAGGCTAGTTGGTGGTGGACTGAAGTCACAGAATATTTTCTGCTGTTAATCAGATTTTGATATGTGTCTAGCTGCACCCTGTTCCAGGATCTTTAGAGAAAGCTGGGAACTCTAAGATATTTGTCTTTAGAATGGCAACTAATTACTGAGAAACACTTGCTTTGATTCTCCAAAGTTCTCTTATCTTGGTGTAATTTTAAAAACTTTCCTTCACACTTTTGTTTAAAATTATATTTTAAAACAGGCAGGTCCTAGGTTCTAGTTGCAAATTGATAATTACACATGTAGACAATGTAATTATCTGAGGGAAAGACAGAGTTTATCCCTTCCACCTTCCACCTTCTCCACCAAAAACTTAATTACAGTTTGTGGGTGAGCTTTAACTTGTTAGAATAATCTTAGATGAAGTTATGAGTTTTTATTCTAAACACTTAAAATGTATAGAATTGAAACATGTTAAAAGTTCTGGTCCTCATTATAATTTAGTTTTAGTTTTGCAGTTGCCATTTGTCTTTACATATTTGAAGGGAAAGGTAACGATATTAATTACTAGACTTTGATTTTGGTTGATCAGTAATCTTGTGCTTACGACTGGTTTGCGGCTGGGCACGGTGGCTCACACCTGTAATCCCAGCACTTTGGGAGGCCGAGGTGGGCAGATCGCTTGAGCTCAGCAGTTCAAAACCAGCCTGGGGATCATGGCAAAACCTCGTCTCTATCAAAAATACAAAAAATTATCCAGGTGTGGTGGCACACTTTTATGGTTCCAGATAATTGAGAGGCTGAGGTGGGAGGATCGCTTGAACCTGGAAGGCCAAGGTTGCAGTGAGCCGCGATTGGTCTACTGCATTCCAGCCTGGGTGATAGAGTGAGACTCTTATCTAAAAAAAAAAAAGTGGTTTGCGAGGCGTCTTGTTGGCAGAGGTTGAAGAGTTGTTGCCCTAATTTATAGTATTATTAAATAGTTTTCCCCAAATTAACATTATTTTTAAAATTGAATACAAGTTTCAAATTATTAACATCAAGAAAAAATACAGGCTTTGGTGAGGTGGTTTAGGCCTGTAATCCCAGCACTTTGGGAGGCTAAGGTGGGTGGTTTGCTTGAGCTCAGGTGTTCAAGACCAGCCTGGACAACATAGCAAGACCCCAGTCTCTACAAAAAAATTTAAAATTTAGCTGGGGGTGATAACACATGCCTACAGTCCTAGCTATTTGGGAGGCTGAGGCAAGGAGGATCGTCTGAGCCTGTGGGGTTGAGGCTACAGTGAGCTGTGATCACACCACTACATGCCAGCCTATCTAGCCTGGGCAACCAAGTGAGACATTGTCTCCAAAAACTGAAAAAAAAGGTGTGTGTGTGTGTGTGTAAACACCACTTCCTGATTTCAGGGGTTTTTGTGTAAGATTTTGTTCTTTATTTTTTGAGTCTGAGTCTCGCTTTTGTCACCCAGGGTGGAGTGCAGTGGCGCGATCTCAGCTCACTGCAACCTCCACCTCCCGGGTTCAAGCGATTATTTTGCCTCAGCCTCCTGAGTAGCTGGAACTACAGGCGTGCACCACCATGCCCGGCTAATTTTTGTATTTTTAGTAGAGATGGGGTTTCACCACGTTGGCCAGGCTGGTCTCAAACTCCTGACCTCCAGTGATCCACCTGCCTTGGTCTCCCAAAGTGCTGGGATTACAGGCGTGCGCCACCATGCCTGGCCCTTGTGTAAGATTTTAAAATGAGGTTTATTGTTGCCCAGGCTGCAATGCAGTGCATGAGCCATCATGCCTGGTCAAGATTTATTTTATTTTATTTTTATTTTTTATTTATTTATTTTTTTGAGACAGAGTCTCGCTCTGTTGCCCAGGCTGGAATGCACTGGCATGATCATGGCTCACTGCAGCCTTGACCTCCCGGGCTCAAGTGATTCTTCCACTTCAGCCTCCTGAGTAGCTGGTACTACAGGCTCATGCTGCCATGCCCAGCTAATTTTTCTTTTCTTTTTTTTTTTTTTTTTTTTTTTTGTTAAAGATGGGGTCTCGCTATGTTACCCTGCCTGGTCTTGAACTCCCAGCCTCAAGCCATCCTCCTGCCTTGGCCTCCCAAAGTGCTGGGATTATAGGTATGAGCCACTGCACCCAGTCAGCTAATTCTAATTTGAATTGATAAACTTCTCTATTATATAAACAACCTTAAGAATTAGTGCCTATCCTAGGGTTTAAGTTCTTTACAATTTTAAGGTATGTAACTTTTAACTATTTTGCTTAATCTCTAACTCATTTCTTAAATGTGACAATTTTTTCTTCTCTTTTGTTTGGTCCACATTTTTGCTTAAAAATTAAAGATTTCTTTGTTTTGTTTTGAGACAGGTTCTCGTTCTGTCGCCCATGCTAGAGTACAGTGGCGCAATCTTGGCTCACTGCAACCTCTGCCTCCTGGGTTCAGGCAATTCTCCTGCCTCAGCCACTCGAGTAGCTGGGAATACAGGCATGAGCCACCATGCCCAGCTAATTTTTGTGTTTTTAGTGGAGACGGGGTTTTGCCATGTTGGACAGGGTAGTCTCGAACGCCTGACCTCAAGTGATCTGCCCGCCTCGGCCTCCCAAAGTGCTGGGATTACAGGTGTGAGCCACTGTGTCAGGCCCTAAAAGTTAAAGATTTCTTAACATATTCTATTTGGTTCTGTTTTGTATCATTTAACACTATTTTACTTATACTTTTCAAAGGGTCTGCTAGATATTCTGAATTAGGGAACACTGTTTCAATACTATTTATTTATTTATTTATTTTTGAGACAGAGTTTCACTCTTGTTGCCCAGGCTGGAGTGCAATGGTGCGATCTTGGCTCACTGTAACCTCCGCCTCCAGGGTTCAAGCGATTCTCCTGCCTCAGCCTCCAGAGTAACTGGGATTACAGGTATGCGCCACCACGCCCAACTAATTTTGTATTTTTAGTAGAGACGGGGTTTCTCCATGTTGGTCAAGCTGGTCTGGAACTCCCGGCCTCAGGTGATCTGCCTGCCTCGGCTTCCCAAAGTGCTGGGATTACAGGCGTGAGCCACCACGCTCGGCCTTCAATACTATTTTTAAACTTTCTTTCAACTTATTTTATCCAGGCCTGAAATAAGAGCAAGCAGACCCACACATTCTCTGGTGAACAGGTTTTGGAATCTATTTTGTCATTTTGTAGGATATGAAAGAACAAAAGAAGGGTCCAAGTTATATAATTCTTTTATTTTCTGTGTGAATGTTTTTAACCTTTGAGAATCTGGAACTCAAAATGTTCTTTATGTGAAGTGTACCAAGATTTTGAAACCTATCCAATAGTCCCATAGACAGTTTTTTAAAAAATAAACATAGAAATTGACCCTTCCGGTTTTAAAGCTTAAAATTTAGGTATCCCCCAGACATCTCAGAAAGTATCAAAGAACTTAAACTTACCAGATCACTACATATGAATTTTGGTGTACCACCACTCAGTCCACAGCAAACATTAAACCCTCATAATATCCTTTTAGATATATGTTTATATACGTGTGTGTACTATGTATAACTTTTCCATTTTTTTGCTTTGTTTTTTGTTTTAGAGACAGGGTCTGGCTCTGTTGCCCAGGGTGGAGTGCAATGGCACAATTAGAGCTCACCTAAGCCTCAAACTCCTCAAATGATCCTCCTGCTTCAGTCTCCCCAGTAGCTGGGACTATGGGTGTTGTACCACCATGCCTCGCTAATTTTTATTTTTTACAGAGCCAGGGTCTTGTTACGTTGCCCAGGCTGGTCTTGAACTCCTGGGTTCAAGGGATCCTCTTACTTTGGCCTCCCAAATTTCTGGGATTACAGGCATGAACAAACTGCACCAGGCCACTATGTATAATTTTAAAGGAAAATCGTACCAACTATTTTGTTTGGTAACTTCTATTTTTACTTGAAATATGACTATCTTTGGATGTGAATAGATGCCTTTCAGCAAGTCAATTGTACTTTTTTAGTGTAAGTACATTATTGCATTGGATGTTCAATACTACTAACCAATTTTCTCTCTCTTTTTGTTTGTTTGTTTGTTTGTTTTGAGACGGAGTGTCACTCTTGTTGCCCAGACTGGAGTGCAATGGCGCGATCTCGGCTCACTGCAACCTCCGCCTCCCGGGTTCAAGCAATTCTCGTGCCTCAGGCTCCGGAATTGCTGGGACTACAGGCGCGTGCCACCACACCCGGCTAATTTTTGTATTTTTAGTAGAGACGGGGTTTCACCATGTTGGCCAGGCTGGGCTCAAGTGGTCAAGTGGTCCGCCCTCCTCAGCCTCCTAAAGTGCTAGGATTACAGGCGTGAGCCACCAGTCCCGGCCACCAATTCTCTTTTGTTGATAATTGAGTTGATTTTTTTTTTTCTATTAAAGCTTTGAACATACATCTCTGTGCTCAGGATAAAGTCCTGGAAGTGGAACTGCTGGATCACAAAGGGTGCAAAAGTTTTTGAACAGCCAACAGCCTTCCAGAAAGGCTGTATCAATTATAAACAGCAGCGTATTTGTGTGTCCCTACTTCACCATACCCCTAGCAACTCTATGAATTATTATTATTGTTAATAATTTTTAGCTCATTTGGTAGGTGGGGAAAAAAAGACACCCTGGTGATTAAAACCAACAATTTGTGATATTTAAAATGTGGAACCGAGCTTTCAGCTGCCTCTGGCTCCCTGGAGGATCCGGGGTAAAGAAACATAAAATGGGTGGAGTTTGGCTCTGGTATTCTCAGTGGGATGGGATGGAGAGGGAAATTACAGCAAGCCGCTTATTCTCCCCTCGTCCGGAAAAGGGTGGGAAACGCCATCGTTAGGGCAAAGGAATTAAGAACATTATTTTATGAAAAGGGTAGTTGTTAGGGGGACGTTTTAAGGTTTTTAACTTTAGGCGGACAAGTCACTACAGATCAGCTGAAATTGCTTTCGGTCCTGACTACTCCTGTGCGGGGTTAAGACCTAAGGAAGCAAAAGGGCAGCCAGCAACAGCCGGACGGGAGGACCCCGGCGGCCGCCACGCAGTCCCACAATGCCCCGCTCGCACCACCCTGAGGGCGGAGAGAAAGGACCGCTGCCGGGGATAGGGCTTCCGCCGAGAGCGCCGAGAAGTGCGCACGCGCACTGACCCCGCGGGCCCTAGCAACCAGAGCAGTGACAGTAGCAACCGCCGGAATGGTGAGTACCTTTCGGGCCGCGTAGCCAAAGCTGAGAGAAGATTGGGAGTGGAAAAGGGTGACTGTGGAGTGTTGAGGGTCTGGGGGTCCTTGAACAGCGGAAGGGAGCCGGTAGCTGACGCTAGCTCTGTGGAGTCAGGGGCCCGAGGCGAAAGAGAAGCCCTGGCCGGGGGTGGTCTGTGGTGAGGGCGGCCTGGGGTGGATCGGAGGTTGGGTTAAGGTGGAGGGACTCAGACAGGAGAAAAGGGAGGGCGAAGAGCAGGAAATTCTCTAAAAAGAGCGTATTGGAGTGGGAAGGGTGATGGGAAGGAGAGTGTAGATAAAGATATCTCTTTACATAGAAGTAATTTTAGTGACCCCCCCGTCGAGATGCAGGGAGGGGCTGGTTACCAGAGGGTTCTGTATAACACGGATTGCAGCAGTTTTCGTAACCTGTGATGTACCCAGGTTGCCTTCTGAATGACTACGAGGGCAGTTATTAGGTGACACTGTAAAGCACACTCTGATGGATATATTAGAGCAGTGATTCTCAAATTTCAGTATGCATAGGTATGGGCTTGTTGGAATGCAGATTGTGAATTTTTAATATGATTGGGGGTTTCAGGAATGTGCATTTCGACAACACACCTCAAGTGATTATAAAATTGGAGGGCATCCCACCACACTGAGAAATGCTGTTGCCTTAGGTTTGAAATCTACCAGCTGTCTATCCAATGAGAGCTCTTTATGAAGTAATGGTTTTACCTAGAGATGCTCCTCAACTCTTACTTGATGTGTTCACTCTCTTGCTTACATACTTGGTAGTTCTAACTAGTCGTTTGAAAAGGATTGCAGACCCAGCCAGAGCTATTGAGCAAAGTATGTGATGTCCTACTGGATAGAGATGTTTATGAAGAAGAAGCATAATTACTTGTCTTCTTTTTGTGATTCCAGTGCTATATAAGTGGGCAGAAATTGAGCCCAGGAGATGGAAATGATGAGGAAGTCATGCCTGCCCTCAACAAGATGAAATACCACTCTTTAAAAAGTAGTTTCCCCCCTGCTTTCCTTACTTTGTTCCCCAAGCAGTTAGCTGAAAATCACTGCCAAGGAAAGTTAAAAGTTCTGGAACCTAGGTTTATATTCAGGTGAAGAAAGGCTCAGACCTAAATATTTATGAAAGTATGAACCATGGTGATTGTTGAAAATCTTCAAATAGAGAATCAGAACCAGTACAGTTATAAGTCACTTAATGATGACAGGGATACATTCTAACAAACACATTATTGGCAGTTTTGCCTTGCAAACATCATAGAATATGCTTACAAAAACCAGATGGTGTAGGCTATTGCTCCTAGGCTACAAAGTTTTACAGCATTTTACTATACTGAATACTGTAGGCAGTTGAAACAAGGTATTTGTGTATTTAAACATAGAAAAGCGGCCAGGGTGTGGTGGCTCACACCTGTAATCCCAGAGGCCTGTAATCCCAGCACTTTGTGAGGCCGAGGCGGGCAGATCACCTGAGGTCAGGAGTTCAAGATCCACCTGGCCAACATGGTGAAACTCCGCCTCTACTAAAAATACAAAGATTAGCGGGGCATGGTGGCGAGTGGCTGTAATCCCAGCTACTCAGGAGGCTGAGGCATGAGAATCTCTTGAACCTGGGAGGTGGAGGTTGCAGTGAGCTGAGATCGCACCACTGCACTCCAGCCTGAGCAACAGAGCAAGACCCTGTCTCAAATAAACAAACAAACAAACATAGAAAAGTTACAGTATTACAATCTTATGTAACCACTGTCTTATATGTGGTTGGTTGTTAACTGAAACTTGTTATGCAGCTCATGACTGTATTTAGAACTGGCTTAGTCTGCAAACTAGCAGACCTGGGTCCCTCCAGAAATATTGACCCACATAGTATTTCAATTTAAAAAAATTTATCTTTCAGTGTCTTTTTTTCCCCCTTATGACCTGCCACTTCAGGACAATGTCTTCAAATGATGATATTTCACATTAAAACCAAGATTTCCAATTTCTCTTGAAAAATAAATATTGGGGCAGGGCACGGTGGCTCACACCTTTAATTCCAGCACTTTGGTAGGCCGAGGTGGGCGGATCACGAGGTCAGAAGATCGAGACCATCCTGGCTATCATGGTGAAACCCCATCACTACTAAAAATAGAAAAAAAAAGAAATTAGCCAGGCGTGGTGGTAGGCGCCTATAGTCCTAGCTACTCGGGAGGCTGAGGCAGGAGAATGGCGTGAACCCGGGAGGCGGAGCTTGCAGTGAGCTGAGATTGAGCCACTGCACTCCAGCCTGGGCGACAGAGCAAGACTCTGTCTCAAAAAAAAAAAAAAAAAGAAAAAGAAAAAGAAAAAGAAATATGTTTCACCATTGGACACTTTTTTTCACATTTTCGTATTACTGAGATATAGTGTGTTATAACTGGCAGCATCTTTTCTTACTTAATGATACATAAAATAAAGGTGTTACTCAATGGAGTTTTTAAATTTGAAGAAGTATGGTGTATTAGGGTAGCTCTTTTCCCCAAGTCCCACCTGCTAACAGTTGTCTGGAGCTGAGTAGAGGTTATCTTCTTTACACTAGTCCTGTCCTTAGTTGGCCAGTTTTACTTATTAGTTAAGTCCATGAGGACCTTCAGGCATTTGAGTTTTTGACTCCTTCTATCCATAGGAAAACCAGTTAAACCTTATACAAATTTATATTGCTGCAATAAACAGCTAGATGGCTTCAACTCTTTTTCTACTAACAGTGTTGTGAAAATACTTTTTTATGGACCCATGCAAAAGATTTCTCTTGGAAACACACCCAGGAGTGGGATTGTACCGTCATAGGGTCTATGTATACTTAATTTGCCTAGGTACTTTTCAGGCTGCTTTCCAGAATGGCTTGACCAGTGTTTACTTCCTCCGGCAGTGCAGGAGAGTTCCATTTCTTCTTGTTTGTTCGTTTTGATACAGAGTCTCGTTCTGTCGCCCAAGCTGGAGTGCAGTGGCACAATCTCGGCTCACTGCAGCCTCTGCCCCTAGGGCTCAAGTGATTCTTCTGCTTCAGCCTCCCGAGTAGCTGGGATTACAGGCACTCACCACCACGCCCGGCTAATTTTTGTATTTTCAGTAGAGATGGAGTTTCCCTATGTTGGCCAGGCTGGTCTCAAACTCTTGACCTCAAGTGATCTGCCCACCCAGGCCTCCCAAAATGGTGGGATTGCAGGCGTGAGCCACCGCGCCTGGCCAAGAGTTCCCCTTTCTTTATGTGCTCACCAATTTTCTAACTTTTGCCAATCCGAGGGTGTGTTTTAGTATTCCATTGTTTTACTTTGCATTTTTCTGATTCTCGATGTGTTATAACACCTCATTTCATATATATATATATTTGTTGTTTGTTTGTTTTTGTTTTTTGGGGGGACAAGATCTTGCTCTGTTGCCTGGTCTGGAGTGCAGTGGCCCCATCAGGGCTCCTCCACCTCCCGGGATCCTCCCACCTCAGCCCCTGCGAGTAGTTGGGACTACAGGCCTGCACCACCACTCCTGGCTAATTTTTTTGTGTTTTTAGTAGAGAGAGGGTTCTCCATGTTGCCCAAGCTGGTCTTGAATTCCTGGACTCAGGCGATATGGCCACCTCGGCCTCCCAAAATGCTGGGATTACAAGCGTGAGCCACCATGCCCAGCCTTCTTGATATTCTTATTAGTCATCTGGGTTTCAGTTTCTGTGAATTTTCTGTTCATATTTTTACCAATTTTTCCATTTTTCTTTTTGTTTTCGAATTTTAGGCATTCCTTGTGTATTCTAAATATTGGTCCTCATTGGTTTCATGTTGAAAATATCTTCTCTCGGCCAGAAGAATAATAAATATATATATTAATTATTATAAATAATAATTATTATTCATAGTGGTGATTAGAAGTGATCCTTGATGTGCTTGAGATTTGTTTTTGTTTTTGTTTTTTTGAGACAGAGTCTCACTCTGTTGCCCAGGCTGGAGTGCAGTGGTGCAGTCTGGGCTCACTGCATCCTCCACCACCTGGGTTCAAGCAATTCTCCTCGTCAGCCTCCCGAATAGCTGGAATTACAGGCACCCGCCACCACGCCTGGCTAATTTTCATATTTTTAGTAGAGACGGGGGTCTCCCCATGTTGACCAGGCTGGTCTCGAACTCTTGACCTCATGATCCACCCAGCTCAGCCTCCCAAAGTGCTGGGATTACAGGCATGAGCCACAGTGCCCGGCTGATGTGTTTGACATTTTTTTTTTTTTTGAGACGGAGTCTCGCTCTGTCGCCAGGGCTGGAGTGCAGTGGCGCGATCTCGGCTCACGGCAAGCTCCGCCTCCCGGGTTCACGCCATTCTCCTGCCTCAGCCTCCCGAGTAGCTGGGACTACAGGCGCCTGCCACCACGCCCGGCACATTTTTTGTATTTTTAGTAGAGATGGGGTTTCACCATGATAGCCAGGATGGTCTCGATCTCCTGACCTCGTGATCCGCCCGCCTCAGCCTCCCAAAGTGCTGGGATTACAGGTGTGAGCCACCGCGCCCGGGCTGTTTGAGATTTCTAAAGGGAATATATTTAATGTTACCTTCCTAGTTAGGCCCACTTTGACCATTTTATTTGAAACTAACATCCTCCACACACATTTACATACATTCTGATACCCTTTACTCACCTCCAGTGTTTTCTTTTTCCTTAGTAATTGTTACCTTCTAATATACTATATAATTTTCTTATTGTATGCAGTTCTCCCTTGGTATTCATGTGGGATTGGTTCCAGGACTCCCTAGGATACTGAAATCTATGGACATTCAAGTCCCTTACATATAATGGTGTGGTATTTGCATATAACTTACACACATCCTCCTGTATACTTTAAATCATCTCTAGGTTACTTATACTATGCAATACAATGTAAATATTATTTAAATAGTTGTTATACTGTATTTTTGTTTTGTTTTGTTTTGTTTTGAGATAGGGTCTAACTCTGTAGCCCAGGCTGGAGTATAGTAGCATAATCATGGCTCACTGCAACCTTGAACTCCTGGGCTCAAATAGTCCCCCTGCCTCAGCCTCCTGAGTACCTAGGACTACAGGTACATGCCACCTTGCCTGGCTAATTTTTTTATCTTTATTTTTTGTAGAGATGGGGTGTCACTATATTGTCCAGGCTAGTTTCAACTCTTGGCCTCAAGTGATCCTCTGACCTCAGCCTCCCAAAGTACTGGGATTATAGGCATGAGCCACTGCACCTGGCCATTGTTTTTACAATTTGTATTATTTTTTATTGTTGTTATTGTTACTTTTTAGTGGATTTTTTTCACATGTTTTCTATCCTTGGTGGGTTGAATCTGCAGATGTGGAACCTGAGGATATGGAGGGCCAACTGTATATATTTTTATCATCTGCTCCTTCTAATAGATGTAAGCTCCATGAAGGCAGGAATCTCTGTTTTGTTCATTGATATACCTAAACACATAGAGGAATGCTTGGTAGATAATAGACAATTAATATTTGCTGAAATAAATGCATTTCTCCATTAAGTATGGTGTTTGTTATAGAGTTTTGTTATATAGCTTTTATCAAGGAATTTCCCTTTCTTTTTATTTATTTTTTATTTTATTTTTGGAGACGGGAGTCTTGCTATGGTGCCCAGGCTGTTCTCAAACTCCTGACCTCAAGAAATCCTCCCACCTCAGCCTCCAAAAGTCCTGGGATTACAGGTGTGAGCCACTGTGCCTGGCCAGGCAATTGCCCTTTAATTTTTAGCTGAGAGCTTTTATTTTATTTTTTAAAGAGCTGGGGTCTTACTATATTGCCTAGACTGGCCTTCAATTATGGGCTCCAGCAGTCCTTCTGCCTCAGCCTCCTGAGTAGCTGGGACTACAGGCATGTGTCACCAAACCCAGCTGCTGAGAGCTTTTAACATCAAATGTAGAACTTTATCAAGTACTTTTTCCATGCTTATTGAAATAAATGTGACTTTCCCCTCTAATCCATTAATTAGTTATATTTATAGATTCTTTTGTTGTGTTCCTTGTACTCTTGGGATAATCTATTCTTGATCATGGTTCAATAAACACCATTGGCTTTGACAATCTAATATTTTTTTTTCTGTTTCTTTTTCTTTTTGTAGAGATGGGGTCTTGCTGTGTTGTCCAGGCTGGTCTCAAACTCCTGGCCTCAAGTGATCCTCCAGCCTTGGCTTCCCATAGTGCTGGGATTGCAGGCATGAGCCACCATGTCCAGCTTGAAGATATAATATTGTATCTAGGATTTTCAAATCCATGTTGAAAAGTAAATTGGGCTCCTTATGTGGTTATGGCATCAAGGTTATACTAGCCTCTTAAAATAAGTTGGCAACTTTCCCTCTTTTTCTGGTTTCTGAAACAACTTGTTACAGGGAATACCCTTGAAAGCTTAGTAGAACTCAATTGTAAAAGTGTCTAGGCTTGGAGTATTGGGGGAAGAGGATAAGGGTAAATCTATCATTTTAATATTTTAAATAGTATTGGTCTATTCAAATTTTCTTGATTCTTATGACAGTTTTGACACTTTTATGTTTTTTATAGAAATGTATGCCTTGTCTGGGTTTTAAACCTTATTGCCATATGTTTGCTTACGATATTTATTTTTTATTTTGGAGACAAGAGTCTTGCTCTGCTGCCCGGGCTGCAGTGCAATGCCGCAATCTCGGCTCATTGCAACCTCCACCTCCTGGATTTAAACAATTCTTCTGCCTCAGCCACCCAAGTAGCTGGAAATACAGGTGCACATCACCATGCCCAGCTAAGTTTTGTATTTTTAGTAGAGACGGGGTTTCACCATGTTGGCCAGCCTGGTCTCAAACTCCTGACCTCAAGTGATCTACCCGCCTCAGCCTCCCAAAGTGCTAGGATTACAGGCGTGAGCCACTGTGCCCAGCCATATTTTATTTTTAAAATCTCTGTGTCTATAGTTATTTCTCTGTATTCTCTCTCTTTTTCTGTATATGTGTATGTGTGGTTTTTGTTTGTTTGTTTTTTGAGACAAGATCTTGCTTTGTCACCCAGGCTGAGTGCAGTGGCACCATTTAGGCTCATGCAGCCCTGACCTCCCGGGCTCTAGTGGTCCTCCCGCCTCAGCCCCTGCCCAGTTCCCCAGCCCCCCAGTAGCTGTAACTACAGGTGCCTTCCACTATGCCTGGCTAATATTTGTATTTTTTTGTAGAGACGGGGTCTTGCTATGTTGTTCAGGTTATATACATTTTTTGAGACAGGGTCTTGCTCTGTTGCCCAGGATGGAGTGTAGTGGTGCAATCTTGGCTCACTGCACCCTCTCTCCCTGGGTCAAATGATCTTCCCACCTCAGCCTCCAGAGTAGCTGGCACCACAGTCATGTGCCACCACGCCCAGTGCCACCACGGTCTAATTTTTTTTTATTTTTTGTAGAGACAAAGTCTCACTGCCTTGCCCAGGCTGGTCTCGAACTCCTGGGCTCAAGCAGTCCTCCTACTTCAGCCTCCCAAAGCGCTGGGATTACAGGCATGAACCACCATGCCTGGCTCATTTTATATTTTCAATTTGTATTGCCTTCTTTTTTGCTCAATCAGGCTTGCCAGGGATTTAAGAACCAACTTTTAGTTTTGTTAATTATTTTATCCCCTCGTTCTGTTTTTCATTGACTTTTTCCTTTGTATTTCCTTCTACCTTCTTTGGGTTTGTAATGATGTACTTTGCCAAATGTGTGAACGCCTATCTCATTTGTTTTCTATCTCTTATTTTTTGACAAATATATTTGAATCTGTAAGTTTCCTTCTTAGTATTATATTCCCCAAATTTTGACTTTTTTTCTTTCATTATTTTATAATTTTCTTTTTAACCCAAGGGTTGCTTATTAGTATGTCTTTACTTTCTAGACATAATGGTATATATTTGTGAACAAAAATTCTCTCAAAAGGAAAATGGAGGGAAGAGACTTTATTTCAATGAACAGTTTGCATATGGCTAGATGCATCCTTAGGTATAGAAGGAAGGTGTGTTCCAGAGAACAAAGGGAGGGCTTGAGTTTTATAGCAAAAGTTCCTGCCCACCTTCTCAGTCAGGTCTGTTTATGCAAATAAAGGATTCAAACTCATTCAGTTCTGGTTTGTTGATACAGCTGGGCCTTGATTGGTTGAGTCAAGTGAGCTGATTGGTTGATTCAGGTGAGTTCTGATTGGTTGGTTCATATGAACTCTGGAAGTCCCAAAGTTGAACAGAGGTGTGTTTTGGGGGGGAACTCAGAGTATGCGTGTGACCTTTAGTAAGCAGATGGCTGTTTGGCTCTAATTAATTTGATTTAATCTAATTTAATTTTTTTAGAGACAGGCTTGCCCTGTTGCCCAGGCTGGAATGTGGTGGTGCGATCATCCCTCACTGTAACCTCGAACTCTTGGGTCCAATCGATCATCCCACCTCAGCCTCCCAAATAGCTAGGACTATAGGCATACACCACCATGCCAGGCTAATTTTTTTTTAATTTTGTTTTGTAGAGATGGAGTCTCTCTATGTTGCCCAGGCTGGTATTGAACTCCTGGCCTCAAGTGATCCTCCCACCTTGGCCTCCCAAAGTGCTGGGATTACAGATGTGAGACACTGTGCCTAGCTTAGGCCCTGTTTTAAATTTAGGCCCAGTTAACTACTCAGGATTCGTCTTGAAGAATTGATTCTTTCAGGTTCACATTTGTTCACATAGTTTAAAAACTTTTCTTTTGTTATTCTTTGGGGTTCTTTTTTAAAAAAAGAGCACCAGCAGTAATTCATTAAGGATATCTTCCGTTGGGTACCTTTAGAGTTTTAAATATATTAAATTGAATCTAAGCTGCTATTAATTATAAGATGCAACATTATTTTATGTTTTACTAAGAAAAAAATGGTTTGAATTGAACTATGACAAATACTTTATTGTCATTTAAAATTTTTATTTTGTACTTATTGATAGAGTTCTTTTAAATGTATGTAGACATACAGATTTTTATCCTATCCTTTATCCTCATCCTTTGCAAACATAAAAAGGAATATATGATATGAAATAAAGTGGTTAATATTTTTCTAAAATTTCACCACTGCCACCTACCCACAGCAGTTGTAAATTGTTACTGATTATAAGATGTATCCAAATTTCAATATTAAAATGTAAGAAAGATGTAGATCCTTAGAATCAATGAAATAAGATGTATTTTAATATCAAGTATTGAAAGCTACATATTTTTTGTAAACCAAGTGGGAGGGAAGTGTATGGGTGTTACATAATGATTTCCTTATTTTTTCTCAGAGATATTTAAATCATTTTGATTTCAGGAAATTAAAACGTCCTCTTTGCATATAAAGTCTCAAAGAAAGAAATCATTTTAATGGTAGAAGCCAAGGCTAATAGTTATTGCTTGAAAAGTTAATCAACAAATTACACCAATAAAGACAAATTGGGGCTGGGCACGGTGGCTCACGCCTGTAATCCCAGCACTTTAGGAGGCCGAGGGAGGCAGATCATGAGGTCAAGGAGTTCGAGACCACCCTGGCCAACATGGTGAAACCCCATCTCTACTAAAAATACAAAAAATTAGCCGGGAGTGGTGGCGCGCACCTGTAGTCCCAGCTACTTGGGAGACTGAGGCAGGAGAATCGCTTGAACCCAGGAGGCAGAGGTTGTGGTGAGCGGAAATCATGCCATTGCACTCCAGCCTGGGTGACAGAGCAAGATTCTGTCTCAAAATAAATACATACATACATACATACATACATTCATACATACATACAACTTTGTTTTTTCTTTTCTTTCTTTTTTTTTTTTTTAAAGGCGAAAGCAACAACAATCAAAGAAGCCTTAGCGAGATGGGTGAGTACATGAGTTTTTCCTTCTTTTAGAAACTGTACAAGGAAAAATTTTGGATAGTTATTCAAATCTAGCTATTTAATACAAAGGATCCTTTTGGTATTGGAACTATTCAGCTATCTTGTCTATGGTGGTGGATGCATGAACTTACACATATGATAAAATTGTGTAAAACTTAATGCACACATACACACAGTCATACATGCACATGAGCACAAGCAAACTTGGGAAAATCTGAATAAAATCAGTGGATTGTATCAATAGCAATACCATAGTTATATTATACTGTAGTCATAAAATGTTACCCTTGGGGGAACTGGACAAACTTTAAATATCATAATAAAAATTTCAATTTAAAAAATCTGACCACTGGAAGATTTAAATATGGAAAGGCCAATTTTACCTATTGCTATAAAATTGCTGGAATTTCTGTGTTAGTACATTTTCTTTTTCTTTTTCTTTTCTTTTTTTTTTTTTTTGAGACGGAGTTTCGCTCTTGTCGCCCAGGCTGGAGTGCAGTGGTGTGACCTCGGCTCACTGCAACCTCCGCCTCCCGGGTTCAAGCGATTCTCCTGCCTCAGCCTCCCGAGTAGCTGGATTACAGGCACGCGCCACAATGCCCGGCTAATTTTTTTTGTATTTTTAGTAGAGATGGTGTTTCATCGTGTTGGTCAGGCTGGTCTCGAACTCCTGACCTCATGTGATCTGCCTGCCTCAGCCTCCCAAAGTGCTGGGATTACAGGAGTGAACCACCGCGCCCGGCCTACATTTTCTTTTTCAACTGTTATCATCACTAAGCTACATACCATTTTCATATGCTGGAGTCATATGAGTTGTGGATTATCTAGGCTTTAGAAGGTGGTTTTAGCCTCGTGGAGGTTAGTACAGAGGCAATCATTGTGGACAATGTAAATCATGCATAGACAACTGAAAAAAACCCTGAATACTCAAGCAGCAATACTAGAAAGGAAACTACATTGTAAAAGACATGCATTATATATAAATTATATTTTCAGTATTATATAACATTCTATAAAGTTTGAACAGTTACAATTCAGCATTATAGACAGAATTTCTATAGAGTACAAAGATGGCTCCTGAATTTCTGTGCCCATAAACTTATTTGTCTATGTTGTCAGTAGTTTTTTTGCATCACTTCTCTGCCTTTTGGCTAAGATCTAGTGTAGTTTTTTTGCATAATAATGTACCTTTTGCTTCTGTAAGTAGGCTTTGAATAAAAAGGCTTTCAGAAGCTTTGGTGTCTGAGGAAAATAGACAAAAGTCGATAAAATAATGAAATACTTGAATTCTTGTTTTAGTGCTTATAAATTTCTCATTTACTTTAAATGTATTTTATAATTTATTTCTGTTTTGTTAAATATTTAATGAAAAATCTTAAGGAAAAAAAGCATATGAAGTAGACTTAGTACCAGATTTCATTTTCCTTGAATTGGATTTTGAGATTTTATTTTACTTACAATAACTAGTGTTTTTTTTTGTTTTGGCTGGTAGAGTCTATTTCTAGATTACAATATGGCCATACATTTTTGACTTTTTTTTTTTTTTTTTGAGACAGTGTCTCGCTCTGTCACCCAGGCTGGAGTGCAGTGGCACAATCATAGCTCACTGCAGCCTCAGTGTCCTAGGCTCAAACACCTGAGTAGCTGGGACTACAGGTGTGCATCATCACCACACCTGGCTAATTTGTTGTTGTTGCTGTTGTTGTAGAGACAGAGTCTCATTATGTTGCCCAGGTTGGTCTTGAACTCCTGAGCTCAAGTGACCCTCTTGCCTCAGCCTCCCATGGTGCTGGGATTACAGGCATGAGCCACTGTGCCTGGCCCATGCATTTTTGACTTTAAGATTATTCAAAGACATCAATCTCACTTTTTCATTGATTTACCCAACATTTATTGAGGATCTACTAGATGTCAATTTCTCCTCCTCTAACCTACAAATATATGTCATAAAAATAAGCACTGAGTGGATATGTATTAGATCTTTTTACAACTGATTGTATATTTTCTATCATTATTATTATTTTAATATATTTTATTTTTCTTTTAATTTAATTCTGTGAAAGTATAGACGGGGTCTCACTATATTGCCCAGGCTGGTCTCAAACTCCTGAGCTCAAGTGATCCTCCCTGCTCAGCCTCCCAAAGTGCTAGGATTATAGGCATGAGCCATTGTGCCCGGCCTATTTTCTATTATTGACATGTGGTGATTTAAGTTTTTTAAAGGAGTTTTGTGTGTCTTACACTGCAGTAGGTTATACAAAACATAGGAAAACAAAGGAAATGGCTCCTGAGCTTCTAGTTTTGTTTTGTTAATTCGTTTGTTTTTCTGGGGACAGGGTCTCTGTTCCTCCAGGCTGAAGTGCAGTGAGCTCAAGTGATCCTCCCACCTCAGCCTCCACCTCCCAAGTAGGTGGACCACAGTCGTGTGCCACCACATCTAGCTGATTTTTAAATTATTTATAGAAATGAGGTCTTGCTATGTTGCTCAGGCTGGTTTCCAACTCTTGGGCTCAAGCAGTCCTCCTGCTTTGGCCTCCCAGATTGCTGGTATTACAGGCATGAGCCACTGTGCCTGTTTGTCATTTTACCATTGTGTTGAGTTCCTGCGTCAGATGAATAGTTTGCAAATATTTTCCCCCATTCAACAGGTTTTCTCCTCACTCTGTTTATTGTTTCCTCTGCTGTGCAGAAGTTTTATTTTTACATTTTGAGATGGAGTCTCGCTCTGTTGCCCAGGCTGGAGTACAATGGCACGATCTCAGCTCACTGCAACCTCTGCCTCCCGGGTTCAAGCAATTCTCCTGCCTCAGCCTCCCACGTAGCTGGGATTACAGGCACGTGCCACCACACCAGGCTACTTTTTTGTATTTTTAGTAGAGGCAGTGTTTCACCATGTCAGCCAGGCTGGTCTTAAACTCCTGACCTCAGGTGATCCACCCTCCTCGGCCTCCCGAAGTGCTGGGATTACAGGCGTGCACCACTACGCCTGCCCAGAAGCTTTTTAGTTTTAGTTCCATTGTTTATTTTTGTTTTTGTTGCCTGTGCTTTTGAGGTCTTAGCCGTAAAATCTTCTCCTAGACCAATGTCCTGAAGTGTTTTCCCTGTATTTTCTTCCAGTGGCTTTATAGTTTTGAGTCTTACCTTTAAGTCTTTAATTCATCATGGTTGATTTTTGCATATGGTGAGAGAAAGGGGTCCAGTTTCATTTGTCTGCATTTGGATATCCAATTTTTCCAGCACCATTTATTGAAGAGGGTATCCTTTTCCCAATGTATTTTCTTGGTGCCTTTGTCAAAAATCAGTTGGCTGTAAATACATGGACTTATTTCTGGATTCTCCATTCCATTCTATTGGTCTGTGTATCTGCTTTTATACCAATACCGTGCTGTTTGGGTTGTGTTCGCCTTATAATATATCTTGAAATCAGGTAGTGTGATAACATCCAATTTTGTTCTTTTTGCTCAGGATTGTTTTGGCTATTTGTGTTCTTTTTTGGTTCCATATGAATTTTAGGATTTTTTTCTATTCTGTGAAAAATGACATTGGTATTTTGATAGGAATTACATTGAATCTGTAGCTTGCATTGGGAAGTATGGTCATTTTAATTATATTAATTGTTCTGATCCATGAATATGAGATATCTTTGCATTTGTTTGTGTCATTTTCAAATTTTAAATACCACAAAAATAAAAGTTTTTTTATTTTCTCCTCATTTTCATTTGGTAGGGACCTAATAGTTATCTGATTCAGCCACATATAAATCTGATTATCAGGGTGAGTAGGTAAATGTTTTCAATAAGTTAATGGTAAAGAATTATTAAACAGTTTGCTAAATTCTAGCAATTGTCTTGAAATAAACATGGAAAAGCCTTAGGAAATTCTGGCCTCTTTTGTTTCCACATTGCAATCATGGGTTATTTCTTCCAAATGTATTTTTCTCATAGGAAGAGAAAACTGGCCAGAGGCCATCTGAAGCCAAAGAGATAAAACTTTATGCCCAGATTCCCCCTATAGAGAAGATGGATGCATCCTTGTCCATGCTTGCTAATTGCGAGTAAGTTCTCTTTTCATCCTTCCAGTATTGCTGTTAGGTTTCCCTTTCTTTTCTTAAACACACAAAGTAGGAAAATATGTTTGTTTTCTGTGGTCTTCATTTATTTTTTGTTTGCTTAGTGTAATTCTCTCTTTGGCAAGGTCAAACATGAAAAATGACTGGTTTATAGGATTATTAATAGAAAATATTGAACAGTATAGTACAATTTTTTTTTTTTTTTTTTGAGATGGGGTCTGGCTCTGTCGCCCAGGCTGGAGTGCAATGGCATGATCTCGGCTCACTGCAACCTACGCCTCCCGGGTTCGAGCAGTTCTCCTGCCTCAGCCTCCCGGGTAGCTGAGACTACAAGGCACATGCCACCACGCCCAGCAATTTTTTTGTATTTTTAGTAGAGATAGGGTTTCACCATGTTAGCCAGGATGATCTTGATCTCCTGACATTGTGATCCGCCCACCTCGGCCTCCCAAAGTGCTGAGATTACCAGCATGAGCCACCACGCCCAGCCAAACAGTACAATATTTTTAGTACAGTTTTTATAATGAGTTTGAAAATATACATCTCCTAGTCTTTTGGGAGAAGCTAAATAACACAATAAACTATATATTTTTTAAATATGGAATGCGTCACGATTGTATGTCATCCTTGTGCAGGGGCCATGCTAATCTATCGTTCCAGTTTAGTACATGGCTGCTGAAGTGAGCACCACAATAAACTATGACATTTATGAAATCTACTACTTTCTCTTGTAAAATTATCCACAAAGTCAAAACTGTATTTTCTTACTACATGCCTAAGAGATACCCCTTAAAAAAAAAGTTTAAAATTATAAAAAACACATTATAAAACATCTGGAAAATATAAGCAGCACAAAGAAAAGGAATTAACATCAACCAAAATCACAGCACTGTGTGAGAACCAGTGCTAGCATTTTTGTAGAGCCTTCTAACTTTTAAAAACAAATTCTAATTGGGATCAAATTATACTTTATTTTTTTGAGAAACTCTTTGTCACCCAGGCTGCAGTGCAGTGCTGTGATCTCGGCTCATTGGAACCTCTGCCTCCTGGGTTCAAGCAATTCTCCTGCCTCAGCCTCCCAAGTAGCTGGGACTACAGGCACTTGCCACCACACCCATCTAATTTTTTTTGTATTTTTAGTAGAGATGGGGTTTCACCATGTTGGCCAGGCTGGTCTCGAACTCCTGACCTCAAGTGATCCACCCACCTTGGCCTCCCAAAGTGCTGGGACTACAGGCATGAGCCATTGTGCCTGGCCTACTTATTTTGTAATCCTATATCCTGTGACTTTAAATATCAGATCTATAGTAGTTTCTTTTAATTTATTTTCTCAATACATGTATTTTAGCAGGATTCTGTGGCTAATTTGAGGCAATTATACCACGTTGCCTTGAAACCATGTTTTTAGGCTACAAGTGTGTCTCATCAGGGCTATAGTATACCATAGAATCACTGGGTTTTTTTCTGATTTCTTCACCCTGTGTTTGTCTAAGTGTGATCCCTTGATCATCTGCACTTTATGCAGGAGATCAGCCCCATCCCAAATTTATAGAAACAGAATATTTGCTGATGAAACCTAGGAATCTGCATTTACAGTAAGCAACTTGGGTAATTCTAGGACACATATTTGTGAACCCATGCATTAGACTAATATCCATCTGTGGGATCAAAGGGGAGAGCAAACATATTTAGCTTTTGTACGCAGCTTGTTCTTTGTGATGAGAACACAGTGTGTCACATAAAAATCCACCACCACATGCTTTTTTGGCATCAGGCATGATTTCAAAGTGGTCACATATCTTTTTATCATAAAGCCATCTCAAAGGCAAACAAATTTGAGAAGGTTTTATACCTCATACTAAAGCACCTTGTATATCACCTCGAGTCAACCTGTTCATATTTTGCTGACAATTTATTTGTGCTAGCTGCCTTAACAAGAATTAAAGAATTATTTCCCAACCATATTCCTAGATTTAAAGGCAATCCATTATTCACTGGGAGTTCTCAGGAGTGGGGGATGACTAGAAAATATACAGATTTGGCCAGTCATTTACCTGACTCGCACACTCATAATCCCAGCTACTTGGGTGGCGGAGGCATGAAAATCGCTTGAACCTGGGAGGCGGAGGTCGCAGTGAACTGAGATCATGCCACTGCACTCCAGCCTGGGCCACAGAGCGAGACTCTGTCTAAAAAAAAAATATATATATTGTTCTGCTAGATGGTTTTTAAACTATGTATCATAGACATCTTCCCAAGTCGGTATCTGTAGCCCTATCTCCTTTGTTTTAGTGGCAGCTTAGTATTTCACTATCTGTTCCTAAGTTAACAGGTGTTTATAGATTTTTTCAATTTTTCTGCTATTCCAGTAATACATATAATCTAGTTCATATATCTTTTGGCATTTATATTAATATTTCAGTAGGATGTATTTCTAGAAGTGAAAAACTTGGTCAAGAAATGTATGCATTAAAAAATTTCATAATACCAGGGCCAGGTGTGGTGGCTCACACCTCTAATCCCAGCACTTTGGGAGGCCGAAGCAAGTGGATCACTTGAGGTCAGGAGTTCAAGACCAGCTTGGCCAACATGGTGAAACCCTGTCTCCACTGAAAATACAAAAATTAGCCAGGCATGGTAGCAGGCACCTGTAATCCCAGCTACTTGGGTGGCTGAGGCAGGAGAATTGCTTGAACCGGGGAGGTGGAAGTTGCAGTGAACTGAAATGGTGCCACTGCACTCCAGCTTGGGTGGCAGAGTGAGACTCTGTCTTAAGAAGAAAAAAAAATTGTTAATACCATATTGCCCTCAAGAAGATTTTTTCAAATTTTTAATGAGTGTTAAACTTAGGTAATCAGAGAAAAACAATGATTTCAAAATGAAGTAATAAATGCTATGATTGAGTGGGGAAAATATTACTTAAATATTATCTTTTATGGGCACTAGTGTTAAGGAATAATTTCTGATTTACCATTTACATTTTTCACATTAAATTTTTTCTTTGTTCTTTTAAAGGAAGCTTTCACTGTCTACAAACTGCATTGAAAAAATTGCCAACCTGAATGGCTTAAGTAAGTGATTCACAGTAACAGATGGTTCATGGATTTCCTAGTTATTTTAATAAACATTCCGGAGACAATATGTAATTCCAGAAGCTGGCACCTGTTTTAGCCATACTTGTTGTCAGATAATAGAATACATAAACTATGTCTTAAGTTTGATTATCCAAAGAAAAATAGAGATAGCATGAGCTCTGAACGTTTTAAAGACATTTAAAAGCTTTTATAGAGTTAGAATTGAGATGTCTTAAATAGAATATCAGATTTTTAATTGTGTATTTCTTTGTTCAGATTTGTATTGTCTGTATTTCAAACTTGTTATATTTAAATTTTAATTCATCATCCCTGTTTTTCCTGTGCTCCTTATCCTCGTTAATGACATTGCCTCCCTCCCAGTTGCCAAGGCCTCTGACTCTGTATTAGTTTCCTACGGCTGCTGTAACTTGATGGCTTAAAATGATGGATATATATTCTCTTATGGTTCTGGAGACCAGAAGTCTGAAATCAGTTTCATCTGGTGAAAATCAAGCCATGCTCCCTCTGGAGGCTGGAGGAGAATCTTTTTCTAGCCTCTTCCAGCTTCTGGTGGCTGCTGCATTCCTTGGCTTGTGACTCATCACTCCAGTCTCTGCCAGTAGTCACACTGGCTTCTCCTTCTGTGTCAAATCTCTGTCTGCCTCCCTCTTATGAGGATACATGTGATTGCATTAGGGCACACCCTGATCTTGAGGATAATCTCCCTGTCTCTCAAGATCCTTAATCATATCTGCAAAGTACTTTTTTTTTTTTTTTTTTTGCCATATAAGGTAACGTTCACAGGTTCCAGGCATTAGAATGTAAGTATCTTTGGGGGAGCCATTGTTTAGCCTACCACAGTCTCTCTTCAAGCCCTATATGCAAATTTATCACTAAATCCTGTTAACTCTACTCTTTGAAGGAGCTCTCAAATAAAGTGTTGCTTTTCCATTTCCAGGAGTTACAACTTTTTAGACCCTCATCATCTTCCCCTTAGGTCATGTTCTTCAAACATTTTGACCACTTTCCATTGTAAGAAATACATCTGAATGTATTATACATTCATATGAATATGCATATCAAATATATACGTACATATAAACTTGAATAAAGTTTGCAAGACAGTATTTACCCTTATATAGCATAGGTCCCAGTAATTTTTTTTTTTTTTTTTTTTTGAGATGGAGTCTCACTCTGTTGCCCAGGCTGGATTTCAGTGGTGCAATCTCAGCTCACTACAACCTCCGCCTCCTAGGTTCAAGCAATTCTCTTGCCTCAGTCTCCTGAGTAGCTGGGATTACAGGTGCCCACCGCCACGCCTGGCTAATTTTTGTATTTTTAGTGGAGATGGGGTTTCACCATGTTGGCCAGGCTGGCCTCAAACTCCTGACCTAAAGTGATCCACCCACCTCAGCCTCCCAAAGTGCTGGGATTATAGGCGTGAGCCACCACGCCTGGCCAGTTCCAGTATGTATTTTTAAATTTTTATTTCTTTTTTTTTAAATGCTGATCACAACACACTAAATTGATTTCACAACCTATTAATTTAGGCTCATGACCCATAGTTTGAAAAACACTATCTTACAACTTTTGTGATAGTCAAACAGGTCAGGGTCACTGGTCTCATTATCTAAGGTGTTATCCTAGTTCATTGCCTCATGACTGAGAAAGTTAAGGAATGTGGATGCAAAGGGTGAGGTTGCAGTGAAAGTTTAATGAGTGAAAAAAGAAAGCTCTCTGCAGTGGAAAGGGAACCCCAAGTGAGTTGCTGTTTTTACAGCTGAATTCAAAAACTTTTATAAGAAACTCCTCTCACCTCTGTAGCTGTTTGAGTAACTTCTCTTATTTGAAAAGCTGTCTGCACAACTCCCCCTTATCTATGTAGTTGTGGGTGTATCTCTAGGCAGGCATCAAAGCACTGCTTCTCTTCTTTGTATAATTGTGGGTTTGTTTTAGGTAAGTCCCTCTCCTCCCTGTACAGGTTCCCAGGGAGACTACTGTGTACATAACTGAAAAGGGGAAGAAACTTTCCTGGGAGCCCACCAATTACACAAAGAAGAATCTGTGCTGGACCCTACATACTTATCTGTGCAGGTGCAGCCTGAGTTTTCCACAGACTGTTATATTTTTGCCTGTAGCTGTGATTTTTCAGGCAGGCTGCTTTTCCAAGGACCAGCCTTAACTGTTTACTTAACTGATTTCTCCTTTTCTTCTCCCTCAATAGCCTCCTAATTGATCTCCTTTCCTCCTGTCTTTCTGCCCTTCAGGTGACCTTCATCACTGATAACAGAGTTTTCTTTCTAAAAATATCATTTGAATATCATTATATCAGAGACCTTTTAATGGTATCTCTTTGCCTAGTAAAGACCAAATGCCTTGATGTCGCATTAAAAGTCATCTAAAAGCTTTTAGTATCCAATTTACACCCAAATACACTATTTTAAAAATGACTTTGTAGCATTTATTAATGCAATAATTTTCACTGAGAACAGCTTTTTCCTGTAACAGGAAAATCCTATAACAAATTAAGATTAAGAATGCAGCCAGGTACCATGGCTCATGCCTATAATCCCAGCACTTTGGGAGGCTGAGGCAGGTGGATCACTTAAGCTTAGGAGTTCGAGACCAGCCTGGGCAACATAGCGAGACCCCCATCTCTACTAAAAATTTTAAAAATTATCTGGGCATGGTGGTGTTTGCCTGTAGTCCCAGCTACTTAGGAGGAGGATTGCTTGAGCTCAGGAGAGTGAGTCTGCAGCAAGCTATGATGGTGCTACTGCACTCCAGCCTGTGCAACAGAGCAAGACCTTGTCTAAAAAAAAAAATAAAAAAAAATTACGAATGCCACGTGTGAATGTCACCCCCTCCTTGAAGACTTCCCTCATCTCCATCATCAAAATTAATTACTCCTTTGGAAATATTCATAACAGTCTACTTGGATTATAATAATAATTACCTATCATATAATTATTGTGAAGATTGAGTTAGTATATATATAGAGTACTTAGAATTGTGCCTGGTGCATATAAAATGCTCAATAAATATTAACCATTATTATAGTTACTTGGGAATATGTTCTGCTCTTTAGATAGTGAATTCCTTGAGGAAAAGCATCATCTTATTAATCTTTTAATCTTCTATTTCAGTACCCCCACCCCTCATACCTTACTCAAAGTTGGCATTCAGTACTTATACAGTGCTGGAAAGTTGGCCTTCGGTATTTACATAGTGTTAACTAGTAGAGTTGTGTGTGAGATGCCTGTCTATTCTAATTTTTTGCTGACTCACTCAAACAATTTAAGCTATTACATTTTATTCTCTGCCTCAGTTTTTTTCTCTGTAATTGAAGTAACTTGCTTAATAACTTGCTCTGTAACTTGCTTAAATGTGACTAAGCAAGTTGATAACATATTATTTATCATCACAGATTACATGATTTTCTTTATATAAAAACATGACTATGGGCTGGGCACGGTGGCTCACACCTGTAATCCCAGCACTTTGGGAGGCCGAGGCGGGTGGATCACCTGAGGTCAGGAGTTTGAGATCAGCCTGGCCAATGTGGTGAAACCCTGTCTCTACTAAAAATACAAACATTAGCCAGGTGTGGTGGCGTGCGCCTGTAATCCCAGCTACGTGGGAGGCTGAGGCAGGAGAATAGCTGGAACCTGGGAGGCGGAGGTTGCAGTGAGCTGAGATCACGCTACTGTACTCCAGCCTGGGTGACAGAGTGAGACTCATCTCAAAAAAAAAAAAAAATGACTATGATAATAGTGAAAATGGATGACCTTCTATGTAGGGCTGGCAGTGGGTTTTAAATCACTTTCTAACTTGGGTCAGTTGGTAGAGACTCTCAGGAAAATTGTAATAATAAGAGTTCTAAAAACTTAGTGGAACGAATACCTTGATCAATTATTCATGTCTGCTGTAGACACAAAATCAGAGAGTATAGGTATTTGCTATATTTGGCTCATTTCATTTTAGTTCTGCTAGTTACAAATACAATTTATGTAGTCTGTGGCTAGCGAATACATTTTATCTGTGACTATGAAGCAAAAAGAAGCTAATTGATCCATATGAGGATTGAAGTTATGCTTTAGCTTGCCTCCTACCCATCTCCTTTCATGACACTATAGTCTTACCTATTATGCCATCATAAGAAGATCTGAAATAAATAGGTATTCCTATTTAACAGGTGATTTATCAGGCAGAACAACCCTAATAGCAGTTTATATTTATTGTACCAGAATTGTGACTAGAAAATTGCTTGATATGACTATGTTCAAACCATGACTAAAAAGCTGTATAATATGAATAATAATCTTAAAGATTAGAAAATAAATTTTGTTGCCATTTATCTTTGGTGAAAAACTATACTTTACTCCTTCAGGTTACAGGTTACAAATAAGCATAAAACTTGAAAGCACAGTTTTGATTTTCATCAGGATACTGTATGAAGAAAACAATAGTACTTTTCTTCTAGTGGTACCCTACTTATGCAGCACATAAAATATGGAAAATATATATTATGTTATGTTAGAACACTTAATCTATTAACTTTGGATATCATAATTTATTTCCTTATACAGTAATAAATATGGTCTTTTTAGCCATTCGTTACCATTTTCATGTGCAGTTTTTCAAAAAGGGGTTAGAGATTATCTTAGAAAAAGTTGCATATATTTGTTATCTCCAATTGCTGAGGTCATTTCTCAGTCCTCATCTTAGTTGATGAATCAGCGTATTTTTTGATACGGATGATTTCTCTTCCCTCTTTAAAGCATTTTCAGTATTTGGCTTTAGGATACTGTCCCCCTTGATTTCCTCCTGTCTTTTTGGCCACTTTTTCCCAGTTTCACGTCCATAACCTTTAAATATTTCAAGTCCCCACGACTCAGTTCTTGTATCCCTTCTCTTTTTTTTTTTTCATTTACTCCCTAGATTATCTCATCTAGAGTCATGGCCTCACCATCAGTATGCTGATGGCTCCCACATTTAGATCTCTAGCCCAACTGTGTCCTCTGAATTGCAGATTCATACATTCCATTGGGTGATATTTCCACGGGATATCTAACAGACATCTCATACTTCTTTTAAATTGATTTTTTCTTTTTTTTTTTTAATTTAATTTTATGGCTGGGGACGGTGGCTCACACCTGTAATCCCAGCACTTTAGGATGCCCAGACAGGTGGATCACTTGAGGCTAGGACTTCAAGACCAGCCTAGCCAACATGGTGAAACCTCGTCTCTACTAAAAATACAAAAAAAATTAGCCAGGCATGGTGGCATGCGCCTATAATCCCAGCTACTTGGGAGGCTGAGGTGGGAGGATCTCTTGAATCAAAGTGCTGGGATTACAGGCATGAGCCACAGTGACTGGCCAACATCTCACACTTAACATGTCCAAAACTGAGTCTTGATATATTCCCCTAGCCCCAGATAAACCAACTCCTTGTGTGTTTCTTTTCTTTTTACAGGATCTTGCTCTGTCACCCAGGCTGGAGTGCAATGATGCCATCTCGGCTCACTGCAACCTCTACCTCCTGGGCTCAAGCGATCCTCCCACCTCAGCCTCCTGAGTAGCTGGGACTACAGGTGTGCACCACAAGCCCAACTAATTTTTTTTTGGTATTTTTATAGAGTTGGGGTCTCCCCATGTTGCCCAGGCTGGTCTCGAATTGCTGGGCTCAAGCAATCTGCCTGCCTTGGCCTCCCAAAGTTCTGGGATTATAGGCGTGAGTGAGCCACTGCTGAGCCATATTTATCTCAGATAGTGACAAGTCCATTTTTCCAGTTGTTCAGGCCAAACCTCTTGGCAATTTCTTGACTCCTCTCTCTCACATCCTCTCTAAAGCCTATTATTTCCTCTAATTTCTTTCATATTATACGTATGGACTTACTTACAACCAAGAATATTTCTTCTAATTTCATGTCCTATTACTCTTCCTTCATTCTCTCAGCTTATGCGGTCCTGCCTCAAAGCCTTTGTACTTGAAGTTCTCTTGCGTGTAAATGTTCTTCCTCCAGATATGTGCATGGTGAACTCCCTTACTAACTTCCTTTGGGTCTTTCCCTAACATCATCTCCTATCAAAAAATCAACTGTTCCCAACCTCCTGATATTTCATTCCTTTTACCTGCTTATTTCTTTTCTCCTTCACATTTTTCACTATCTAATATACTTACTTATTTTGTTTATCTGCCAAATGTTAGCTCCTTGATAGCAGGAATTTTTGTCTGTATTATTTGCTGTAATATTGCAAGTGCTTATTGCTGTTCCTGGTGTATAGTAGATGGTCAGTAACTTATGTGTTGAGTGAATAAGTTATCGAATAAGCGTTTAATTCTTCATGAAATAGAAAAAAGAAAATGGTGTTTTTTCATATCAAGAAGCTTTAAAGAATAATTATGTGATTTTCTTAAATATTTAATTTTCATAAATTTATAGTTATATGGGATATATTAATTTGCTAGGTTGCTGTAACAAAGTCCCACAGATTGGGTGGCTTAAACAATAGAAATTTTCTCACAGTTCTGGAGGGTAAAAGTCCTGTAGTTGTGATCAAGATGTCAGTGTGGTTGATCTCTTCTGAGGCCGCTCTGCTTGGCTTGTAGATGGCCGTCTTCTCCCTCTGTCTCTTTTTTTTTTGAGACAGAGCCTTGCTCTATCACCCAGGCTAGGGTGCAATGGCACGATCTTGGCTCACTGCAACCTCCGCCTCCCAGGTTCAAGCAATTCTCCTGCCTCAGCTTTCCGAGTAGCTGGGATTACAGGGACACACCACCATGCCCAGCTAATTTTTTTATTTTTAGTAGAGACAGGGTTTCGCCATGTTGGCCAGGCTGGTCTCAAACTCCTGGCCTCAAGTGATCCACCCGCCTCGGCCTCCCAAAGTGATGGGATTACAGGCGTGAGCCTCTACACCTGGCCCCTCCCTCTCTCTGTACATGTTCTTTTCTCTGTGTCTATGTCCAAATTGCCTCTTGTTACAAGGATACCGATCATGTTGGATTAGGGCCCATCCAAATGACCTCATTTTACCTTAATTACCCCTTTATTTTTTTTTAAGTGTCCAAATGGCCCAATTAATTACCTTTTTCTTTTTTTCTTTTAGACAGGGTCTCACTCTGTTACCCAGGCTAGAGTGTAGTGGTGCAAACTCCTGTGCTGAAACCATCCTCCTGCCTCAGCCTCCCTGAGTAGCTAGGCTTACAGGCATGTGCCACCATGCCCAGCTAAACTTTTTTTTGAGAGGGAATCTTGCTCTGTCACCAGGCTAGAGTGCAGTGGCGCAATCTTGGCTCACTGTGACCTCCGCCTCCCGGGTTCAAGCGATTCTCCTGCCTCAGCCTCCCAAGTAGCTGGGATTACAGGCATGCGCCACCATGCCCAGCTAATTTTTGTATTTTTAGTAGAGATGGGGTTTCACCATGTTGGCCAGGATGGTCTCGATCTTCTGACCTCGTGATCCACCCGCCTCGGCCTCCCAAAGTGCTGGGATTACAGGCATGAGCCACCACGCCCGGTCTAAATTTTTTATTTTTTATTTTTTATTTTTATTTCTGTAAAGGCAGAGTCTTTCTATGTTGCCCAGGCTGGTCTCGAACTTCTGGCATCAAATGATACTCCCACTTCACCTTCTCAAAGTGCTGGGATAATTGGCATAAGCTACAATGCCTGGCCCAATTACCTCTTTACAGGCTCTGTCTCCAAATGCAGTCCTATTCTGATACTAGGGATTAGGATTTAAAGATATGAATTTTCCGGGGGACACAGTTCAGCCCATAACATGGGGTCTTGCTTCAACAGTTAAATCATTTTGTGTGAATTAGACCACTCTTAAAATACCTTGCTCTAAAAGCTCATTGTTTCTTGTAAGACAAATTAATTTATTAAATAAATTGAAGTTATATATGCCTGATTCTCACACACACACATACACACACACACACACATTCACACACACATCTGTATTGTGTACTTACCATGGGTTACACATTTCACTGAATATTTTAGGTAATTATCTCATTTCATCCTTAAATTCCTATAAGATAGAAATTATATTTCCCCATTTTATATATGGGAAAATAGATTCAAAGAGGTTTGTTTGCTTCCCTAGAGAGTTGGGATTGAAACTCAGTTAATTGGATTTGAGTTCTTACCATTCAATTATGGATGTTATAGAACAATGTCATCCAACAGAACTGTCAGCACTGTCCCAATACAGTTGCTACTAGCTACATATAGTTATTAAGCACTATGAAATGTGGCTAATGTGACTGAGAAACTGAATTTTAAATTGTAATTAATTTTAATTAAAGAGCCACATGTGGCTAGTGACCACCATATTAGACAAAGAAGTTATAGATGTTTAAGTTATGAAAATTAAATATAGTAATAAGCAAAAGTAATCACAGTAGTTTCTTGGAACAGAAATGAGGTTTCCTGGGTGTTTCAAAAAGAAATTTATTTTTAATTTGGAAAAATAATATATGCACCTGGTTTTATTCAAATGGTTCAAAAGAGGTTACAATGGGAAATGTCTACTTCTGTTAGTTCCTCCCCAAAGACAACCACGGTTTCTACTTTCTTTTTTCTCTTCCAGAAATAGCCTATAGATATACAAATAGAAATAACCTTTAAAAAATAAAGATAGGCATTTTATTTTATTTTTTATTTTTTATTTATTTTTATTATTATTTTTTTTTGAGATGGATTCTCGCTCTGTCGCCCAGGCTGGAGTGCAGTGGCGAGATCTCGGCTCACTGCAAGCTCCGCCTCCTGAATTCACACCATTCTCCTGCCTCAGCCTCCCGAGTAGCTGGGACTACAGGTGCCCACCACCACACCCAGCTAATTTTTTGTATTTTTAGTAGAGACGGGGTTTCACCGTGTTAGCCAGGATGGTCTCGATCTCCTGACCTCGTGATCCGCCCGCCTCAGCCTCCCAAAGTGCTGGGATTACAGGTGTGAGCCACCACGCCCGGCCAGGCATTTTATTTTTTAACCAAATCACAGTCTAATTATTTAAAAACTTGAAAGAAAATGATTTTTTAAATACCAAATTTATTTTTTTTCACTTCTGATCCTTCATGGAGTGAGATGGACAATATATAAATATATGTTCTTATTTTCTAGTATGAGTTCTTGTAAGAGATTTGAAATATATATGCTCCCAAACTCAAAATATTCTCTACTGCTATTTTATCCTGTAATATTTTTATTAGCCAGCAATTTAAGACCATGTGTTCCAGATAGCTAACCATTTTTAAATTTAATATTGACATGTTATGAAATTATACCTGTACTGTTTACTTTAGATGATAGGTCAATGTTATTTCTACTTGATTACCCATTTTTGTTAACACAACCTTTCTTACTCATTGTATAAGGATATCTATTATATAAAACTTATTAAAGCTTTATTATTCTAGATTTACAACAATTGTGTAATATGATTCTAGTAAACAAAAAAATGTTTTCTTTTCACTACAGAAAACTTGAGGATATTATCTTTAGGAAGAAACAACATAAAGAACTTAAATGGACTGGTAGGTTGTTATTTATTATTATTTTATTTATTTAATTTGCACACATCTATGAATAATTTCTTGGATAAATTCCTTGAAATGGAATTACTAGGTCAAAAGGTATCAGTTTCTTTTAAGGCTTTTGTGACATATTCTCAAGTTACCCTTCAATAGGTTTGCAACAACCTGTACTCCCACCAGTAACGTGTGAGGTTTCCCAATTTCCCATACCAGCCTTGGGCATTTAAAATTTTTTTGACATGTCTTATTTCTATATTTATTGGCCATTTGAATTTCCTTCCAAAGAATGTGAGATGGAACAATAACGTAAAACTAGGCAATTTCAGGAAAGATGAAGTGAATATTTCTTGTATCTGTTCCCGAAAAGACAATACTTTTTGATGTTTATTGTTAAATAATTCATAAACATACTGAAATTTTGTATGGCCCTGGCTGCTTTTCCCCTCCCAATAAATCTAGCTTGTGCTTCGTAAGAGGCAGTGGGGAGCTGAAATTGCAGTGGTTTCCAACAGTAACCTCCCAAGACAAAACAGGCTAACATGACCATCCTGCCCAGTACAGAAACAGTGGTAACCCTGAATAGGAGTCATGTTCAGAGGTGCAATTTTGGAATTATCTCAAATTTGTTAGCCAAACTCTGAATTATATTTCCACCTCTGTGATTCTATTTACCTGCATAAAGAGGTACTGATGAGTTTATAAAATGCTGGAAATTCTTAAGGGTCAGGCTGAGAGCAGTGGCTCACGCCTGTAATCCCAGCACTTTGGGAGGCCGAGGCAGGCAGATCACGAGGTCAGGAGATGGAGACCATCCTGGCTACCACGGTGAAACCCTATCTCTATTAAAAAAATACAAAAAAACTAGCTGGGTGTGGTGGCGGGCGCCTGTAGTCCCAGCTACTTGGGAGGCTGAGGCAGGAGAATGGCATGAACCCAGGAGGCGGAGGTTGCAGTGAGCTGAGATTGCGCCACTGCACTCCAGCCTGGGTGACAGAGCGAGACTCTGTCTCAAAAAAAAAAAAAAAAAAAGAAATTCTTAAGGGTCAGATTCTGGGATTAAATAAAGGAAGTTTCCTAACCCAAAATAATAACCATCAGATGAATTATTTGTTTTCTAATTGGATATGGTGAGTAAAATTCTTAATGATCTGTAAAAATTTGATTTTTTTTTTTTTTGAGACGGAGTCTTGCCCTGTCACCCAGGCTAGGGTGCAGTGACATAATATCAGCTCACTGCAACCTCCGCCTCCCGGGTTCATGCCATTCTCCTGCCTCAGCCTCCCGAGTAGCTGGGACTACAGGCGCCCACCACCACACCTGGCTAATTTTTTTGTATTTTTTTAATAGAGATGGGGTTTCACCGTAGTAGCCAGGATGGTCTCGATCTCCTGACCTCATGATCCGCCTGCCTCGGCCTCCCAAAGTGCTGGGATTACAGGCGTGAGCCACCACACCTGGGCAAAATTTGATATTTGTGATGTTCTAAATAAATTGGTAAGTTTAAGGATATTTAGCCTTCTGTCCAGTTTCTGAGCCTTAGATGGAAAAATTTCAAATATAGAGACATTGTGCATAAAGCGTAAAATATTAAATTGTAATACAGAAATTCAGAATTATTATATTTCAGGCTAAATGTAACTTTGAGTTATCTATAAAGAAATAGTTTGCAGATAAATGTACTCCAGAACTTTTAGTGTCAATATACTTGATGTTCCCCCAGGTATTTATAGAATCCCTTATAGAATCCCAAATTCTCAAGTATTACTATAGCATGTAATTTATTCCATAAAATGTAATAAATACCCAGAGACCACAAATAAATTATAAATATAGGATTAAAGGTATGTATTGTGTATTAAGATGCTATCTGGCTGAACTATCACTTGTTTTAGATATCGTCACTTTTTATACACTCCTATCAATGATAGCCAATAGTTGTTTTTCTTTCCAGGGTGTAATGTGGGGTTTTGTCCAAAAGCTTTATTGCTTATTTGCAGAATAAAGAAAAACAAAGCTATGGCTGGGCACAGTGGTTCATGCCGGTAATCTGGCACTTAGAAGGCCAAGGTGGGAGGATCCCTTGAGGCCAGGAGTTTACCTGGGCAACATAGCAAGACTTCGTCTCTACTGAAAATTTAAAAAGAAATTAGCCAGGCATGGTGGTACATGCCTATAGTCCCAGCTACTCGGGGAGGCTGAGGTGGAAGGATTGATTGCTTGAGCCTAGGAGTTTGAGTTTACAGTGAACTATGATTGTGCCATAGCAATGCAGTCTGGGTGACAGAGGGGAAAAAAAAAAGGAAAGAAAAAGAAAGCTGCATTGGGATGCAGATACTGGGTTTCTAATATGTTCACATACTAGATGACTTATTCATCTAGACACATCTGCCTCATAGCATGATTTAAATAGCTGTCTCAGTAAATTAAAAATGATTACTGTAATGTGTGAAACATGGAATGTTAAGTTGAAGGAAAGGGGTTGATTTATAACTATTCAGGAAAACTATTGAGGTACATTATAAACCCATTTGTATATATGATCTGGCCTTTGCCTTCCTTTCTGATCTCATTTCATGTTTCTCTTCTCCTAGTTGATAATCTCTAGTGACTGGCCTTCTTTCTGTTCCTTGACCATGCACAATTCATTCCCACCTGAGAATCTTTATACTTGGCTGTTCCCTCTGTCTTAAAAACTCTATTGCCATGGATTTCCACAATGCGGACCCCTTCTTAACCCTCACACTTCAGCTCAGATGTCACCTCCTCAAAGGTGACCCAATCACGATGTGGGCTCCTTCTTGATCTTTACACCTCAGCTCAGATGTTGCTTCCTCAAAGGTGACCCAATCACGATGTGGGCTCCTTCTTGATCTTTACACCTCAGCTCAGATGTTGCCTCCTCAAAGGTGACCCAATCACCGTATATCTAAAGCAGCTCTCTAAGCACTAATTCTTTTTGTTTTAGACGAGGTCTCACTCTGTCACCCAGGCTAGAGTGCAGTAGTACAATCACAGCTCATTGCAACCTTGACCTCCTGGGCTCAGGCCATCCTCCCACCTCAGCCTCCTGAGTAGCTGGGGCCACAGGTGTGTGCCATCATACCAAGCTAATATTTTAATTTTTTGTAAAGACAGGGTCCCACTATGTTGCCCAGGCTGATCTCAAACTCCTGGGCTTAAGCAATACTCTGGCCTCAGCCTGAGCTGAGTAATTCCAAAGTGCTGGAATTACAGGCGTGAGCCACCATGCCTGGTGGAGTAACTATTTTTTTGAGCCAGGGTCTCACTGTGTCGCCCAGGCTGGAGTGTCTCCTGGGCTCAAGCAGTCCTCCCGCTTCAGCCTCCCAAGTAGCTGTGACTAAAGACACACCTCATCACACTCAGCTAATTTTTTTGTATTTTTAGTAGGGGTCTCGCCATGTTGCCCAGGCTGGTCTTGAACTCCTGGGCTCAAGCAATCCACCTGCCTCAACCTCCCAAAGTGCTAGGATTACAAGCCTGAGCCACCACGCCTGGCTGAGTAACTCCTACCAGTTGTAATTTTATTTTTTCATGTTACTCATTATTACCTGAAATTCTTGTTCTTGTTCTCTCTCTCTCTCTCTCACACACAAACACACACACACACACACACAAATCCTAATGACCATTCAGTTTTGATTTTTGTTTGCTTAGAGACAGGTTCTCACTCTCTCACCCAGGCTGGAGTGCAGTGGCATGATTACAGCTCACTGTAATCTCGGACTAGTATAGTTTACTATAATCTTGAACTCCTGGGCTCCAGCAATCCTTGCTCCTCAGCCTCCTAAGAAGCTGGCACTACAGGTGGATAGCTGGGATTACAGGTGTGCACCACCTTGCCCAGCTAATTAAAAAAAAAATTTTTTTTTTGTAGTGATGGAGTCTTACTATGTTGTACAGGCTGGTCTTGAACTCCTGGCCTCAAGTGATCCTCTTGCCTCATCCTCCCAAAGTGCCAGAATTACAGGCGTGAGCCACTGTGAGGGCCTGGCCATTTCAGTTTTGTTAATTAGCATCTACAATAGTGCTTGATATATATAGTAGACACTCTGTAAGTGTTTATTCAGTGACTCAACATGTTTTATTACAGTTACACAACTATTAAGTTAAAATTGTAGGCTGGGCGCAGTGGCTCACGCCTGTAATCCCAGCACTTTGGGAGGCCGAGGCAGTGGATCACGAGGTCAGGAGTTCGAGACCAGCCTGACCAACATGGTGAAACCCCGTCTCTACTAAAAATACAAAAATTAGCCAGGCCTGGTGGCGCGTGCCTGTAATCCCAGCTACTTGGGAGGCTGAGACAGGAGAATCGCTTGAATCCAGGAGGCAGAGGATGCAGGAGCCGAGATTGCGCCATTGCACTCCAGCCTGGGCAACAGAGTGAGACTTTGTCTCGATAAATAAATAAATAAGTAAATAATAAAATAAAATATTTTTTTTTTGAGACGGAGTCAAAATTTTAATTCTAGGCCAGGCGTGGTGGCACGTACCTGTAATCCCAGCTACTAGGGAGGCTGAGGCACAAGAATCACTTGAACCTGGGAGGCCGAGTTTGCAGTGAGTCGAGATCACGCCACTGCACTCCAGCCTGGGTGACAGAGCAAGAGACTGTCTCAAAAAAAAAAAAAATTTTTTTTTTAATTCTATAAGTACCATATGTTCATTGCGAAAACAAATCAAGCAATTTATAAATATGTGAAATATGCTGTGAAAATCTTTGGTCTTTCTACCTCCTATTCCCTACCAGCTCCATGAAGTAACAAAAATTTTATTGTTTTGTGCACTTTAAAATATTTTCTGTGGATATACAAATAAATAGCTCTGTGTATATGTGTGTGTGTGTCATATTGTTTGTTCTGATAGTGTACAAGCCATTTTTTCCTGTAATTTAGCTTTTTCTCTCAACAATATATCAATAATATCCTTCAATGTCAATACATGCAGATTTAATACATTAAAAATAGCTGTGTAGTTTTCTACAGTATCAGTATACAATCATGTATTTAACTATTCCTATACTGCTGGGCATTTCGATTATTTCCAGGTTTTTTTTTCTTGGGTGAGGAGTGTGGGTTTTCTCTCTCTCTCTCTCAATTTCTTCCTCTTTCCACAAATCATGTTGCAGTGAACATCTTTGCACACATGTCCCTCAGCAGTTATTTGCGTATTTACATGTGATGGGATAGATTTATGAAAGTAGAAAAGCTGAGGATATTTTTGTGCCTTTAAATTTTTGATAGGTACCTCAAATTGTTCCCACAATGCTAATGCTAGTTTCTATTTCCATCACTGGCACATGGATGAAGATTATCCCCTCCACCCTCAACATCAGTGAGTAGTATTCATTTTTTTTTTTTTTTTTTTTTAATTGAGATGCAGTCTTGCTCTGTCGCCCAGGCTAGAGTGCAGTGGCGTGATCTCGGCTCACTACAAGCTCCACCTCCTGGGTTCACGCCATTCTCCTGCCTCAGCCTCCCAAGTAGCTGGGACTACAGGCGCCCGCCCCCACACCTGGCTAATTTTTTGTATTTTTAGTAGAGACGTGATTTCACCTTGCTAGCCAGGATGGTCTCGATCTCCTGACCTCGTGATCTGCCCGCCTCGGCCTCCCGAAGTGCTGGGATTACAGGCATGAGCCACCGCGCCCAGCCAGTAGTATTCATATTTTTAACATTTGCCAGTATGATAGGCAAAATGGAGTCTGGTGGTGGTGTTGATTTTTTCTTTTTTTTTTAGAGGCAGGGTCTCGCTATGTTGTCCAGGCTGAACTCAAACTCCTGGGCTCAAGTGACCCTCTTGCCTCAAGTCTCCTGAGTAGCTGGGACTACAGGCCACTGTTCGCGGCAAGTACCGTGTTGTTTTAATTTCCATTATCTAGTCAGTTCTGACTTTGAATGTCTTTTCTTTATAAACATATATATAAATATATTTATTTATTTATTTATTTATTTTTTTTGAGACGGAGTCTGGCTCTGTCGCCCAGGCTGGAGTGCAGTGGCATGATCTTGGCTCACTGCAAGCTCCGCCTCCCGGGTTCCCGCCATTCTCCTGCCTCAGCCTCCTGAGTAGCTGGGACTACAGGCGCCCGCCACCACGCCCGGCTAATTTTTTGTATTTTTTAGTAGAGACGGGGTTTCACCGTGTTAGCCAGGATGGTCTCGATCTCCTGACCTCGTGATCCGCCCACCTTGGCCTCCCAAAGTGCTGGGATTACAGGCGTGAGCCACCATGCCCGGCCCATATATTTATATATATATATATATATTTGTGTGTGTGTGTGTGTGTGTGTGTGTGTGTGATGGTGGTCTGACTTTGTCACCCAGGCTGGAGTGCAGTGACACAATCTCAGCTCACTGCAACCTCGACCTCCTGGGCTTAAGTGATCCTCCCACCTCAGCCTCCCAAGTACTTGGGACTACAGGCACGCACCACCACACCCAGGTAATATTTTTTATTTTTTGTAGAGATACGGTTTCACCATGTTGCCCAGGCTGGTCTTGAACTCCTGAGCTCGAGCAATCTGCCCATGTCGGCCTCCCAAAGTGCTTAGGACTACAGGCATGAGCCACTGGGCCCAGCTGAACATCTTTTTATATACTAGTCATTTAGGTTTCATCTTTTGGAAATTGACCAAACACATTTTTAACCTATTTTTCTACTAGATTTATCTTTTTCTTACTGAATTATAGGTACTTTTTAATATCCCTAATAATTATCAATATTGAAAATGCTATTATATTGTTGTTGTAATTATCATTTATTAACCACATAGTAGGCTCTTTACATGCATTATCTCATTTCCAGCTCACAAGTAGATGTTATTATCCTTATTTTAAGATAAAGAAACTGAGGCTCAGTTATGTAAAGTATTCAAATATAGTGAGCAGGTATTCTTTTTTTTTTTTTTTTTTTTTTAGCAGTGCTACCCCATAGGCAGTGTGCCTGGAGTAGCAGTTGTGAACAGGCATCCTTAAACACTGTTGCTGAGACAGGCAGTTTGTCAATAGCTATCACAATATTCAATGTGTATTTCTTTGTCCCACCTATTCTATATTTAGGAGTTTTTCATACATGGACAAAGATGGTAGAGCAAGTATTTCACTGCAACATAGCTTATACAAAAGACTGCAACAATCTAAGTGTCTATCAGCAGTGGACTAGCTAAATATATTAATAAATACTATGCATTGAGGAAAAACAATGAGGTGGAACTTCCCTCTGTGTGTTGAAATGGAATAATTTGCAAGATATATGAAGTGTAGAAAAAGCAAAGTGAATATTTATATGTACATATATGCATAGAGTATTTCTGGTGATAGCTGTTACTTCTGGGCAAGGGAGCTGGGGTATAGGGTGAGAAAGACTTTTCTATTTTTATTTATTTATTTATTTTTTTGAGACGGAGTCTCGCTGCATCCCCCAGGCTGGAGTGCAGTGATTGGATCTCGGCTCACTGCAACCTCCACCTCCCGGGTTCAAGCGATTCTCCTGCCTCAGCCTCCCAAGAAGCTAGGACTACAGGCACATGCCACCACACCCGGCTAATTTTTTTATTTTTAGTAGAGTCAGGGTTTCACCATATTGGCCGTGCTGGTCTGGACTCCTGACCTTGTGATCCGCCTGCCTCACCCTCCCAAAGTGCTGGGATTACAGGCGTGAGCCACCGTGCCCGGCCAAGACTTTTGTTTTTATACTTGTTGGTTTTTTTAAATCTTGTGTACATTTTTAATACTCTTTCTGTTAAAATACTGATTATTTTCTCCTTAAAAAATGCAAACAGAAAAATGCACTCATGTTTGTAGTAGCATTATTTATAATAGCCAAAAGGTGGAAGCAACCTAAGTGTTCACTGAGAGATAATTGGATAAACAAACAAAAAAGAAGCTAATGAAGTAGAGGGGAAGGGCAGAAGGAAAGGGGAGGCAGAGAAGAGGAAGAAGCAGAAGACTTAAGTCATGTTAGTCAGACCCTGGCAATCTGATCACAGTTTCCACATTGAAATTTAATGCAGTTTTCAAAACTGATATATTTTCTCTTAGTTTGTTTCTTGTCTTTTTACCTTATTCGTGGTTACCAAATGGTATTTAAAAATTTTTGTTAGTCAAATCTTTATGGTTTCAGTGTTTTGTATTTTACATAGAAGGTCTTAGGTACTAGATTGTAAAAATAGTCTTATCTTCTTAATTAAAAATTTTAAGTCTATACTCTTAATTCATCTGGAGTTTATTTTTACATGTGTCATGAGGCGCAGGTATCATGTCTTTTTTTTTTTTCTTTAATTGGTTAGCCATTTATTGAAAAGTCTCTTTTTCCTACTGTTTGTAAATGCCACCTGCTAAACTCCTGGATATGCATGGGTAGGTTCCTGGATGGTCAGTTTCTTTCTGTTTGTTGTTCTTTCTATAAATTTCAGCTTCAATATCATGCTGCTTTAATTTTCTTTAACTTTAGAATTTATTTTGATATCAAGAAAAATCCTCTCTCCTTTTTCAAAATATTTGTGGGCATTTACTCTTCAGAGAAACTTGAGAATCATTTTATCAAATTATCTTAATATATCTTGCAAATTATTCCACTTCAGCACATACAGGTAAGTTCCACCTTGTTTTCCTCAATGCATAGTATTAATATATTTAGCTAGGCCACGGCTGACGGACACTTAGGTTGTTGCAATCTTTTGTACAAGCTGTGTTGCTCCACCATCTTTGTCCATGTATGAAAAAACTCCTAAATATTACATTTGTGAATTGATTTGGAGAGAAGTTATAGCTTTATAATAATGAATCTTATGAGAAGACGTATTCATATTTTTTATGTCCTTCAGTAGAATTCCATAGTTTTAATTCCTATAAGACCTTGTATATTTCATGTATAAAGATTTATTTCTGAGTAATTCTTAAATTGACACATTATAATTATACTTATTCATGGGGTACAATGCTATGTTTTGATACATATATATACGTTGTGTAATGATCAAACCAAGGTGATTAGCATATCAATCACTCAAACATTATTTATTTATAGTGAGAACATTAAAAATCTTCTCTTCTAGCTATTTTGAAATACAGTCATGCATCACATAATGACTGGGATATATTCTGAGAAATGCAACATTAGGCAATCGTTGTTGTGTGAACATCATAGAGTGTGCTTACACAAACCTAGATGGTATAGCCTACTACATACATAGGCTATATGGTTTAGCCTATTGCTCCTAGGCGACAAACCTGCTCAGCATATCACTGTACTGAGTGCTGCAGGCAGTTGGAACACAATGGTAAGTATTTGTATATCTAAACATAGAAAAAGTACAGTAAAAATACAGTGTAAAATATAAGAAATGATACAGGTGTATAGAGCATTTATCATAAATGGAGCTTGCAGGACTGCAAGTTTTTCTGGATGAGTCAGTGAGTGACTGATGAGTGAATGTGAAGGCCTAGGACATTACCGTACACAACTGTAGATTTTTTGTTGTTGTTGTTATTTGTTGTTGTTGGGTTTGTTGTTTTTTTGCTTTTTTTTTTTTTGAGACGGAGTCTCACTCTGTCACTGAGGCTGGAGTGCAGTGGCACCCTGTCGGCTCACTGCAACCTCCGTCTCCTGGGTTCAAGCAATTCTCTTGCCTCAGCCTCCTGAATAGCTGGGATTACAGGAGCCCACCACCATGCCCGGCTAGTTTTTATATTTTTTACTAGAGATGGGGTTTCACCATGTTGGCCAGGCTGGTCTCAAACTCCTGACCTCAGGTAATCCACCCGATTCGGCCTCCCAAAGTGCTGGGATTACAGGCATGAGCCACCGCACCCGGTGATTTTATAAAACACTGTACACAGGCTACACTTAATTTATAAACAATGTTTTAGCTGGGCACAGTGGCTCACATCTGTAATGCCAGCACTTGAGGAGGCTGAGGCGGTGGGATCACTTAAGGCCAGTAGTTGGAATCAAGCATGGACAACATAGCGAGACCCCATCTCTACCAAAAAAAAAAAAAAAAAAAAAAAAAAAAATATATATATATATATATATATTAGTTGGGTGTGGTGATGCACACTGTAGTCCTAGGTATCAGGAAACTGAGGATTGCTTGAGCCCAGGAGTTAGAGTTTGCAGTGAGCTCTGATCACACCACTGCACTCCAGCCTGGACAACAGAGCAAGACGCTGCCTCTAAATAAATGAATAAATAAATAAAAATAATATGTTTAGCTGGGCATGGTGGCTCACGCCTGTAATCCCAGCACTTTGGGAGACTGACGCAGGTGGATCACCTCAGGTTGGGAGTTCGAGATCAGCCTGACCAACATGGAGAAACCCCATCTCTATTGAAAATACAAAATTAGCCAGGCGTGGTGGTGCATGCCTATAATTCCAGTTACTTGGAAGGCTGAGGCAGGAGAATCACTTGAACCTGGGAGGCAGAGGTTGCAGTGAGCCGAGATCGCACCTTTGTACTCCAGCCTGGGCAACAAGAGCAAAACTCTGTCTCAAAAATAATAATATTGTTTTTATTTCTTCAATAAGAAATTAACCTTAGCTTACTGTAACTTTTTTTTTTTTTTTTTGAGATGGAGTCTCGCTCTGTTGCCCAGGCTAGAGTGCAGTGGCTCAATCTCAGTTCACTGCAACCTCTGCCTCCCAGGTTCAAGTGATTCTCCTGCCTCAGCCTCCCGAGTAGCTGGGATCACAGGTGCTCACCACCATGCCTGGCTAATTTTTTTTTTTTTTTTTTTTTTTGTATTTTTAGTACAGATAGGGTTTCACTGTGTTGGCTAGGCTAGTCTCGAACTCCTGGCCTCAAGTGATCTGCCCGCCTTGGCCTCCCAAAGTGCTGGGATTACAGGCATGAGCCACTGCGCCCGGCCAACTTTTTTAATGTTAAAAACTTTTCAATATTTTTTTAACTTTTTGACTTTTTTGTAATAACAGCTGGAAACACACATTGTATAGTAGTATAAAAATATTTTCTTTCTTTATTTCATTATTCTATAAGCTTTCTATAAGCTTTTTTCTATCTTTAAATTTTTAAATCTTTTTTACACATTTTTGTTAAAAATGAAGACACAAACACATACATTAGCCTAGGCCTACCCAGAGTCAATATCACTGTCTTCCACCTCCACATCTTGTCCCACTGGAAAGTCTTCAGGGGCAGTAACACACATGGAGCCACCATTTCGTATGACAACAGTGCCTTCTTTCTAGAATACCTCCTTAAGGACCTGTCTGAGGCTGTTTTATAGTTATTTTTTTTTTTTTTTTTTTTTTTTTAGTTGGAGTTTCGCTCTTGTTGCCCAGGCCAGAGTGCAATGGCACAATCTCGGCTCACCGCAACCTCCACCTCCTGGGTTCAAGCGATTCTTCTGCCTCAGCCTTCCGAGTAGCTGGGATTAGAGGCGTGCATCACCACGCCCAGCTAATGTTGTATTTTTAGTAGAGACAGGGTTTCTCCATGTTGGTCAGGCTGGTCTCGAACTCCCTACCTTAGGTGATCCGCCTGCCTCGGCCTCCCAAAGTGCTGGGATTACAGGCGTGAGCCACCGCGCCCAGCCTACAGTTAGCTTTTTTTTAATAAGTAGAAGGGGTATATCTTAAATAACTATAAAAAGTATAGTAAACACATAAACCAGTAATATTGTCATTTACTATCATTATTATGTACTATACATAAGTGTATGTGTTATGCGTGTGTATGGCTGGTGGCTCAGTAGGTTTGTTTACACTAGTATCACCACAAACTTGAATGCCTTGTGCTACCACATTATGACTGCTGGGATATCACTAGGCAATAGGAATTTTTCAGCCCTATTATAATCTTATGGGACCACCATTGTATATAGAGTCAATCATTGATGAAATGTTATGCATTGCATGACTGTATATATTATTGTTAACTATAGTTAACCTGCTGTGCAATAGAACACCAGAGCTTATTCTCCTACATAATTGTAACTTGGTACTCATTTACCAACTTATTCCCATCCTCCCCTCAGCCCCCCACCCCCCTCTCCAGTCTCTGGTAACTACTGTTCTGCTCTCTACTTCCATGAGATCAGCTTTTTTTATTTATTTATTTATTATTATTATTATTATTCTTTTGAGAATAACAAGTTCACTCTTGTTACCCAGGCTGGAGTGCCATGGTGTGATCTCAGCTCACTGCAACCTCCACCTTCCAGGTTCAAGCGATTCTCTTGCCTCTTCCTCCCAGGTAGCTGGGATTACAGGTGCCCACCACCACACCTGGCTAATTTTATATGTTTAGTAGAGACGGGGTTTCACCATGTTGGTCAGGCTGGTCTCAAACTCCTGGCCTCAAGTGATCCACCTACCTCGGCCTCCCAAAGTGCTGGGATTACAGGCGTGAGCCACCGCACCTGGCCGAGATCAACTTTTTTAGATTCCACATATGAGTGAGATCATGCAGTGTCATTCTGTGTCTGATGTGTCACTTAACATAATGTTCTCCAGGTTCATTCACATTGTAACAAATGACAGGATTTCATGCTTTTTTATGGCTGAATAGTATTCCATTGTGTGATATACCATATTTTCTTTATACATTCATTCATTATTGGACACTTAGGTTGATTCCATATTTTGGCTATTGTGAATAGTGCTGCAGTAAACATGGGAGTGCTGATAGCTATCTCTTCGACATACTGTTTTCATTTCTTTTGGCTATATACCCTGTAGTGAGATTGCTGAATCATATGGTAGTTCTATTTTTAATTTCCTGGGTAATTTATAGTTTTTGTTGCTATGATGCATTTCTCTTTAACACCCTTCCTGTTTATATTAAATAATATAAAAGCCATTTATTTTTGTATACTTAACATGTAATCAACTACCTACCAACAATTCTTAACTGTTTATAAATCACATCCCCACAACAATTTTCAAGCAACATTGTGTTACCTGGATTCATTACTTTATACAGAGCAATAATCATCATCATCATCCTCATTACATATAGTCTAAAATAGAGGTCAGCTGGGCATGGTGGCTCACGCCTATAGTCCTAGCACTTTGGGAGGTCGAGGCAGGATTGCTTGAGGCCAGGAGTTTGAGACCAGCCTAGACAACATAGTGAGACTCTTGTCTCTACAAAAAAAAATTTTTTTAAATTAGCCAAGCATGGTGGCACGTGCCTGTTCTAACTACTCAGGGGGCTGAGGCAGGAGGATCACTTGAGCCCAGGAGTTCAAGGCTGCAGTGACCTGATTGTGCCCTGTACTGCAGCCTGCGTAACAGATCGAGACTCTGTCTCTAAACTAAAAAACAAACTAAAAAAATAGATTTTATGGCATTTCATAAAGCTCTCCCACTTCTGTAACCTCCAACATGATATTATTTACAGAGTAGACATTTACTTTTTTGTTTTCAATACTTACAATGGTTTGTTGACCTTAAAAAATCATAAATTTTAATAGCTGAGAGGAACCTTAAAGAACTTGTCCAACTTCCTCATTTTTTCCAATGTTTTTTATGGTGGTGAAATATACATAACATAAAGTTTACCATCTAAAACATTTTTAAGTGTATAGTTCAGTGGTAGTAAGTAGACTTGCACAACCATCACCATCCATCTCCAGAACTCTCTTCATCTTGTGTGTCTGAACCTCTGTAAGCATACAGTAGCTTCCTACTGCCTCTTCCCTGATCCCTGGCACCCACCATTCCACTTTCCGTCTTTACGAATTTAACTACTCTAGGTATTTCATATAAGTAGTATCATACAGCATTTATCTTTTTGTGACTGGCTTATTTAACTTAGCGTAATATCCTCAAGTTTCATCCATGTTGTAGCGTGTGTCAGAATTTCCTTTCTGCTTAATTTTTTTTTTTTTTTTTGAGACTGAGTCTCACTGTATCGCTGAGGCTGGAGTGCAGTTGCGCAATTTTGGCTCGTTCCAACCTCTACCTCCCAGGTTCAAGTGATTCTTCTGCCTCAGCCGCCAAAGTAGCTGGGACTACAGGCATGTGCCACCATGCCCGGCTAATTTTTTTATATTTTTATTAGAGATGGGATTTCACCATGTTGGCCAGGCTGGTCTCAAACTCCTGACCTAAGGTGAGCCGCCCGCCTTGGCTTCCCAAAGTATTGGGATTACAGATGTGAGCCACTGCACCCAGCCCATTCCTGCTTAATGTTAAATGATATTCTATTACGGTATGTATATACCATGTTTTGTTTATCCGTTTGTCTATCAGTGGACACTTGGGTCACGTCCATCTTTTGGCTATTGTGAATTTGCTACTGTGAACATGGGCGTACCAATATCTCGAGATCCCACTTTCATTTCTTCTGAATATGTGCCCCGAAGTGGAATGGCTGGATCCCCTGTTAAGTGATATCAATTATCATATGATAATTAATTTTTTAAGGAACGGCCAAATTGTTTTCCATAGCAGCTGCACCATTTTACCTCCCTGCCAACCGTGTACAAGGTTCCAATTTCTCCACATCCTCACTAATACTTACTATTTTCTGTGATTTTGATAGTAGCTATCCTAATGGGTATGAGATGGTATTTCATTGCGCCAGTCTCCTCATTTTACAGAGTAAGAAACTGAGGGGAGAAATGGCTTGTTTACATGCAGAAGCTGACCAGTTTGCTAAATGACTGTTCAGTTATTGTCCAATTCTCGAAAGAGTCAGCTTATTTAATGACAGATTTCACTGAATTGATTCACTCAAACTTTGCCAGGTTTTCCTCATTGATATTCACTAGACTGCTTCACAAAAATCTTGTCTTTATTATCTACTTAACAAATACTTACAGGAAATTGTATTATTGGCTGGGCACAGTGGCTCATGCCTTAATCCAGCACTTTGGGAGGCCGAGGCGGGCAGATCCCTTGAGTCCAGGAGTTCAAGACCAGCCTGGACAACATCTCTACAAAACCCATCTCTACCAAAAAGACAAAAATTAGCCAGATGTGGTAGTGTGCACCTGTAGTCCCAGCTACTAGGGAGGCTGAGGTGAGAGGATTGCTTGAGCCCGGGGGAGGTTGAGGCTGCAGTTAGCTGTGAGTGTGACACTGCACCCCAGTCTGGGTGACAGAGTGAGACCCTGTCTCAAAACAAAACAAAAAACAACTTTTTTATGTTTGAAAATCATCATAATAAATGTTGGAGAAGACCCTGAATTTTAGACCTAGCTCTATTATTTAATAGTGTGTTCTTAGAAAAAGCCCTTAATCCCTCTGTAATAGAAATCAAATAACCTGCCTTATCGGCTTTAAAGCAGATGTTCTAAGGACCAAATAATATACTCTATAGGAATGTAATTTGAAAACCGTACCATTAATGAACGAGATAAGATAGTGCCATTATTTCCCCTCTTGGTGATTTCAGTATTAGTAACGTATTATGTTTTGTGATTTTTTTTTTTTTTTAGTGGAGCAGTCAGAGAAGGAAGAGTTCAGATTAGTTTGAAGAAGGGAATGGAATGTTCTACTTAGCTCCCTCAATGAGAAAAAAAAAACCTCCCACACAACTACTAGCTCTTCTACAAGTAGACAGGCAGGGTCTAAGTTCACTTTGGAAGCCATTATGTATATCTTTATAAAGAAGAAGACAGAAAGAAAAGCTTAAACATAAACATAAATCAAATTTTGTTCTTTTTCAGGAGGCAGTAGGGGACACATTAGAAGAACTGTGGATCTCCTACAATTTTATTGAGAAGTTGAAAGGGATCCACATAATGAAGAAATTGAAGATTCTCTACATGTCTAATAACCTGGTAAAAGACTGGGGTAAGCTGAGAGTGGCCCTTTGCTAACCTTCTACCGCCTGTTTATAGAAAATAGTCCGAGAGGGAAAAGATGCAAAACGAGAACGTTTATTTCTAAGCACAGAGAGAAAGTGGAAACATTTATGGCTAAGCTCAGAGAGAAACAGCAATAGGAGTTTCTAAATTTTAAATGCTTAACATTTATATTTAAATATTTACTTAGGATGGACCGGGCGCGGTGGCTCACGCCTGTAATCCCAGAACTTTGGGAGGCCGAGGCGGGTGGATCACGAGGTCAGGAGATCGAGACCATCCTGGCTAACACGGTGAAACCCCGTCTCTACTAAAAATACAAAAAAATTAGCCGGGCGTCGTGGCGGGCGCCTGTAGTCCCAGCTACTCGGGAGGCTGAGGCAGGAAAATGGCGTGAACCCGGGAGGCGGAGCTTGCAGTGAGCCGAGATCGCGCCGCTGCACTCCAGCCAGGGCAGCAGAGCAAGACTCCGTCTCAAATACCTAACGTTAAATGACGACTTAATGGGCACAGCATACCAACATGGCACATGTATACATACGTAACAAACCTGCACGTTGTACACATATGCCCTAAAACTTAAAGTATAATAAAAATAAAAAATAAAAAAGTGAAAGAACTTGAAAAAAAAAATTAGGATGAACGTAATCTGATAGGTCCTGGTCCTATTAATCATGAAAAAAATTTAAGCTATTATCCAAAGGCTGAAGTAATCAGTTTAAATTTAATACTTCAAAGGTAGAAGACTTATTTGATATCTATGTTACTTTGCTTTTTTATTGTATATAATTCATTCAGTTATATGCGATGAACTATACCAGTCTCTTTGGATACATAGTTGAATAGGACATTATCCCTGCCCTCAAGAAGTTCACAGCTTAGTGGGGAAAATTAGTTTGTAAGCTGATAATTATAAAACTGTGTGATAAGAGGCCAGGTGCAGTGGCTCTTGCTGGTAATCCCAACAATTAGGGAGGCCAAGGCGGGCAGATCACCTGAGGTCAGGAGTTTGAGACTAGCCTGGCCAACATAGCAAAACCCAAATTTTTTTTTGTAAAAATACAAAAATACAAAAACATAGCCAGGTGTGGTGGTACATGCCTGTAGTCCAAGCTACTTGGGAGGCTGAGGCATGAGAGTTGCTTTAACCCAGGAGACAGAGGTTGCAGCGAGTGGAGATGAAGCCATTGCACTCCAGCCTGGGTGACAGAAGGAGACTCTTTCTCAAAACAAAAAAAAGCAAAACTGTGTGATAAGTTCTGCAATACAGATTTGAATGTGTTGTTTTAAGAATTCAAAGATGAGGGAATGGGTACAGACAAAGGCAGGTTAGCTTAACCTACACTGATGCAGCACAGCATGAAGAAGACCTGTCACTGGAGAGTGATTTGTTCTTTTTGACTTTGAATCTCATCTCGTCTTATTTCATCCTTATGCTAGCATTTAAAGTAGAGAGGTATGTCTTCTTTTTCCCTCCCATCCTGTACTGTCTTCTGAGAATGACTTTATATGGTATAACTTTCCTAGCTTCCTTCAAAATCTTAAACAACTGATTGTCATGAATAGTCACAAACTGAGGGTTAATGATATTGGAATTTAATCCCCAAAATTGTAACAGTAAAACTTGCTGTTTTTTTTTTTTTTTTTTTTTTTTTGAGACAGAGTCGTGCTCTGTCGCTCAGTCTGGAGTGCATTGGTGCAATCTCTGCTCACTGCAACCTCCGTCTCCCGGGTTCAAGCAGTTCTCCTGCCTCAGCCTCCTGAGTAGCTGGGACTACAGGTGCCCACCACTATGCCTGGCTTATTTTTGTATTTTTAGTAGAGATGGGGTTTCACTGTGTTAGCCAGGATGGTCTCGATCTCCTGATGTCGTGATCCGCCCGCCTTGTCCCCCCAAAGTTCTGGGATTACAGGCGTGGACCACCGCACCCGGCCAAAACTTAGTGTTTTAATATGGAAAATATTCTTTTACTTGTAGCTGAGTTTGTGAAGCTGGCAGAACTGCCATGCCTCGAAGACCTGGTGTTTGTAGGCAATCCCTTGGAAGAGAAACATTCTGCTGAGAATAACTGGATTGAAGAAGCAACCAAGAGAGTGCCCAAACTGAAAAAGCTGGATGGTGAGTGATTCTGAGCTGGCTTAGACATATCTTCTAGGCATAAAAATGGAATTTGTGGCATGGAATCATGAAGAGGAGAAAAACTAAAGAAAAAATACCTCTGATCTTCCAGGTCATTTCTATCTATGTAAAATTGAATGGTCTAGGTTTGAGCCAAGGTGAGATGAAAAACTGCTAGGATATTTAGACTGGTACAAGATTCTCCCTAGACCAAAAGCTTATAAGAAAGCTAGGCCTGGCCGGGCATGGGTGGCTCACGCCTGTAATCCTAGCACTTTGGGAGGCTGAGGCGGGTGGATCACCGAAGGTCAGGAGTCTGAGACCAGCCTGGCCAACATGGTGAAACCCCATCTCTACTAAAAATATAAAAATTAGCCAGGCGTGGTGGCGGGCACCTGTAATCCCAGCTACTCGGGAGGCTGAGGCAGGAGAATCACTTGAACTCGGCAGGCGGAGGTTGCAGTGAGCTGAGATTGTGCCATTGCACTCCAGCCTGGGCAAAAAAGAGTGAAATTCCGTCTCAAAAAAAAAAAAAAGAAAAGAAAAGAAAGCTAGGCCTTATAAATCTACATGGAGCCAGTCACAGTGGCACGTTTCTGTAGTCAAGCTATTCAATGAGGCAAGAAGATTGCTTGAGGTCAGGAGTTTGAGACCAGCCTTTGCAATATAGTGAGAAAAACCCTGTATTTATTTTTAAAAAATTGTATATTTATTTTTTCCTGATATAAATTTCCTTCTGCTATGTTGGATTAAAGCTGGAATTATTCAGGGTTTGGTGCTGAGCCTCCTCCTTTTCTCACTCTTCCCTGTATCACAAGGAGGACACCCATGCAAGCAGTAAGAGAGAAGGAGCCTGGCCAGGTGCGGTGGCTCATGCCTGTAATCCTAGCACTTGGGGAGGCCAAGGCGGGCAGATCACCTGAGGTTGGGAGTTCGAGACCAGCCTGACCAACATGGAGAAACCCCATCTCTACTAAAAATACAAAATTAGCCGGATGTGGTGGTGCATGCCTGTAACCCCATCTACTCGGGAGGCTGAGGCAGGAGAATCGCTTGAATCCGGGAGGCGGAGGTTGTGGTGAGCCATGATTGTGCCACTACACTCCAGCCTAGGCAACAAGAGCGAAACTCCGTCTCAAAAAAAAAAAAAAGAGAAGGATCCTGACTTCCAGACAACATAAAGTTCCATGTCTATCTACTATCTACTTGTACTTTTATGTAAAAGAAAAATAAACTTCTAGCTCATTTAAGCAAGTTTAAAAAATAAAGAAAGTTAGGCTTATTCTCAAGTCAGAAAGGTAACACAAAGGTCACAAATTTTGATCAGAATCAAAAATTATTCTGATTCTGCAGAATAATTAGAAATACATGGTAAGCAGTTGCTTTTTTACAATTGGATCAAAATTGTGGTATTCTCTCTGTTTCTCCCCTCATCCCCAGTCTTAGTTTCCCAATATCTTAAGATCAGTGTCAGCATCAGTAGATAACCCTAATTAACTGAGTCAAGTCCCAGCTCCTCCACTTAATAGTTTGTGAAATTGTGCTAATTAATTAATCTCACCAAACCTTGTTCATTGGTAATCTAAAAACTGGAGATGATAATAGTATCATTAGTAATCATTTCAGAACATATATCAGAGTATTATTATGAGGATTAAATAAAATAATCTATGTGAAACAATGAACACATAGAGATAATCTACGCTAAACGTTGTGCTTAACATAAAGTAAGTATTCAAAATATATGTTATTAGCTGGGTGTGGTGGCTCACACCTGTAATCCTAGCACTTTGGGAGGCCGAGGTGGGAGGATCACTTGAGGTCAGGAGTTCGAGACCAGCCTGGCCAACATGGTGAAATCCTGTCTCTAGTAAAAATACAAAATTAGCTGGACCTGGTGGTGGGTGCCTGTAATCTCAGTTACTCAGGAGGCTAAGGCAGGAGAATTGCTTGAACCTGGGAGGCGGTGGTTGCAGTGAGCCAAGATGATGCCACTGCACTCCAGCCTGGGCAACAGAGTGAGACTCTGTCTCAGAAACAAAATAAAGAGTTATAATTATTTTAGATTTTAACTCAATCCCAAAATGCAAGTGTATAAGAAATATTTCAATATAAATCGACCTCATTTTGACTTTGAACACTACCTCCCCAATTCAATTCAGCTGGGCTGTTAAGAAATTCAGTCTGTCATTCTTTTTTTTAGAGTCTGGCTCTGTTGCCCAGGCTGGAATACAATGGCGCAATCTTGGCTCACTGCAACCTCCGCCTCCCGGGTTCAAGCGATTCTCCTGCCTCAGCCTCCCAAGTAGCTGGAACTACAGGCGTGCGCCACCCCCCCCCCCCAGCTAATTTTTGTATTTTTAGTAGAGATGGGGTTTCACCATGTTGGCCAGGATGGTTTTGACCTCTTGACCTCGTGATCCGCCCGCCTTGGCCTCCTAAAGTGCTGGGATTATAGGCGGTGAGCCACTGTGCCCAGACTTTTTTTTTTTTTTTTTTTGAGACAGAGCCTTGCTCTGTCACCCAGGCTAGAGTGCAGTGGCACCATCTCAACTCACTGCAAGCTCCGCCTCCCAAGTTCAAGTGGTTCTCCTGCCTCAGCCTCCTGATTTCAAATCATTTGTCTTTACTTCCTTCAGGGTTGTACGTAGAAAGCGAACCTCTTCCCTTAAGAATAAAATAGAGGCCGGGTGTAGTGGCTCATGTGTGTAATCCCAGCACTTTGGGAGGCCGAGGTGGGTGGATCACCTGAGGTCAGGAGTTTGAGACCAGCCTGGCCCACCTGGTGAAACCCTGTCTCTACTAAAAATACAAAAATTAGCTGCGTGTGGTGGCAGGCGCCTATAATCCCAGCTACTTGGGAGACTGAGGCAGGAGAATCACTTGAACCCGGGAGGCAGAGGTTGCAGTGAGCTGAGATTGTGCCACTGCACAGGCAGTTCGAGACCAGCCTGACCAACATGGAGAAACCCCGTCTCTACTAAAAATATAAAATTAGCCAGGCATGGTGGCACATGCCTGTAATCCCAGCTATTCGGGAGGCTGGGGCAGGAGAATCGCTTGAACCCAGGAGGCGGAGGTTGCAGTGAGCCGAGAAAAAAAAAAAAAAGAATAAAATAGAACCACCAATGTAGAACTTGAATAGACAAAGCTACATTATGGCCTTTTGGACCATGTATTGACTTCATGTCAATCTGAACAGCCCCTAGAAGAACACCTTAGTCTATTCTAAACCAGTGGGATAGACCAGAACAGAGATGGCCACAGCTGCAAACTTGCCCATTTTTGTTTCTCTTCTGTTGCTCATAAGCAAAACTGAGGGATCTTTTTTTTTTTTTTGAATCGGAGTCTCACGCTGTCACCCAGGCTGGAGTGCAGTGGCGCGATCTCAGCTCGCTGCAGCCTCCACCTCCCAGATTCGAGCAATTCTCTGCCTCAGCCTCCTGAAGAGCTGGGATTACAGGCGTCCGCCACCACGCCTGGCTAATTTTTGTATTTTTAGTAGAGATGGGGTCTTATCATCTTGGCAAGGCTGGTCTTCAACTCCTGACCTCGTGATCCACCCACCTCAGCCTCCCTAAGTGCTGGAATTACAGGTGTGAGCCACCGCGCCCAGCCTAAAGCTGAGGGATGTTAAAAATCTAAAATAAAAAAGACGGACAATACCAAATGCTAGTGAGGATGTGAAGCAACTCTTATACCCTGTAGGATGGTAATGTAACTTGGTATAACCACTTTGGGAAATTGGCGTTATCTACAAAACTCTACACATACATTCCTTGTGACCCAGCAATTTCCCTCCTAACTACATACCCCAAAGAAAAGGGTGTGAATGTTTACCAAAAGACACGTATGAGGATGTTCATAGTAGCAGTATATTAATAGCTAAAAATTATAAACTACTTAAATGTTCATGAACAATAGAATACATAGATAAAATATGGCATAGTCATACAATGGAATATTAAACAGCAGTAAAAATGAATGAATTAAAATTTTACACAACATGGATGAATCATACAAACATAGTGTTGAATAAAAGAAGCCAGACACAGGGTACATACTATATCATTCCTGTGGTCCTATTTGGGAGGCTGAGGCAGGAAGATTGCTTGAGTCTGGGAGTTTGAGGCTGTAATGAGCTGTGATCACACCCCTGCACTCCAGCCTGGGTAATAGAGCAAGACCTTGTCTTTAAAAAGACAAACAAAAAACAAGGAAAATAAGCTATGGTGTTAGATATTAGGATAGAATATATCTTTTGTGGGTATAGTGACTGGCAGGGGGCCTGAGGCAGTTTTGGGGGTTCTGATAATCTTTCTTAAATCTGGGTGCCGGTAACTAGTTTGTGTTCACTTTATGAACATTTATCAATCTGTACGTTATAATTTGTACACTTTGTATGTTGCGCGTCAACAAAAAGTTCACTTGTCCCACAAACAAATGCTCAGGAGTGTACAGAGAGGTCAAACTATGCTCACTGCCGTAAAGAACATGTCCCTCTTGGAAGGCATCACTGAGGAAGAGAGGTACTGGGGTTTGTTCTTCATAAAGGGTAGGATTTAGATGGGAGGAGAGTTGAGGACATTACAAAATGAAGGAACTTTAAGCTGGGCACGGTGGCATGCACCTGTAGATCCAGCTACTTGGGAGGCTGAGGCATGAAGATCCTTTGAGCCCAGGAGTTCAAGTCCAGCCTGGGCAACATAGCAAGCCCTGTCTATAAATAAATAAATAAATAAATAAATAAATAAATAAATAAATAAATAAATAAAGTCTTCAGAGAAGAGAAGAGAAAAGGGAAAGAAAAATGAAGGAACTTTGTTAACCAGTAGGCCAGAGGTAAAAGTGTGCAAGATGAGTTTGGGAGACGATGAACTGATCAGGTTAGCTGGAGTGCAGGGTAAATGGCTGAAGAGTTAAGACTGAATACTCAGCTGGGGTCAGACTGGCTTCAAATGCTAAAGCTCAGATGGGTGGCCGTTGGCCCAGTGAGAGCCAGAGATGTGCTTTGTTTCCTCTACAGTGATTTTTTTTTCAGTGTATCCCCAATGTTCAGCAATTGGGGGAGGTCATATAAAATGACAATTAGAGGAGTTCAGATTTTTGGCAGTACTGTGATTACACATTTTATTGTGGGAAATGAGGAATATTTCTTTATGCTTAACATAGAAAACTTTTTTTTTTTTTTTGAGATGGAGTCTTGCTCTGTCGCCCAGGCTGGAGTGCAATGGCATGATCTTGGTTCACTGCAACCTCCGCCTCCCGGGTTCAAGCGATTCTCCTGCCTCAGCCTTCTGAGTAGATGGGATTACAGGCATGCGCCACAACAGCCAGCCAATTTTGTATTTTTAGTAGAGATGGGGTTTCACCATGTTCGCCAGGCTGGTCTCGAACCCCTGACTTCAAGTGATCCACCCGCCTCGGCCTCCCAAAGTGGTGGGATTACAGGCGTGAGCCACCGCGCCCGGCCCATAGAAAGCTTTTAACATGTACAGAACTTACTTTATTTTTCTACTTGGTACTTGTTGGCTTTTTTTTTTTTTTTTTTTTTTTTTGAGACAGGGTCTTACTCTGCCACCCAGGCTGGAGTGCAGTGGCATAATTACAGCTCACCATAGCCTGGACATCCCAGGCTCAAGTGATCCTCCCACCTCAGCCTCCAAAGTAGTTGAAGACTACAGGCTCACACCACCATGCCTGGCTAATTTTTTTTATTTTTTGTAGAGATGGGGTCTTGCTATGTTGCCCAGGCTGGTCTCCAACTCCTAGGCTTAAGCGCTTCTCTCATCTGGCCTCCCAAAGTGCTGGAATTAGAGGCAGTGAGCCACCATGCCTGGCCATAGGCATTTTTATTTGCGATTTGGCAGTTAGGGGGCTTAATATTCACAAGTATGTATACTAAACCATTTGAGAATTCCCCTGAGAAGCTTTTCAGATAATTTGAAATTAAAGAGATTATTTTGTGAAATTATTTTTATTACGGCACACTTCATAGTATCTCAGAGCTTCTCAGGTTTTTCTTTTTTCTGAGATGGAGTTTTGCTCTTGTCACCCAGGCTGGAGTGCAATGGTATAATCTTGGCTCACTGCAACCTCTGCCTCCCGGGTTCAAGCGATTCTCCTGCCTCAGCCTCCCAAGTAACTGGGATTACAACCGCCCGCCACCATGCCCAGCTAATTTTTGTATTTTTATAGAGACGGGGTTTCACCATGTTGGCCAGGATGGTCTTGAACTCCTGACCTCAGGTGATCCACCCGCCTCAGCCTCCCAAAGTGCTGGGATTACAGGCGTGAGCCACCGTGCCCGGCCAGGAAAATATTTTCATCTAGAATTTTAGCAATTTTTTGAGAATAACCAGTAATAATTTTCTTTTTCATTTTAGGTACTCCAGTAATTAAAGGGGATGAGGAAGAAGACAACTAATGCCACGCTTTCCACTGTGTGTTAACTTATTTAAATGTCATAAGAACAATAGATAAATTTTATATAATTGTCTATTTTAAAGATTCTGTATGGGACAAAAGTTTCTTAAGATAAAACAGATCACTCATTCTCATCTTTTTTTTTCCTTTAACTTATTCAGTGTTTCTCCCCAAAACTGGTAATGCCAACCTTATATATCCTATTTCTCTTTTTAGAAACCACAAATTTTCGATTTTTGTCTTCAGTCTCAGTTACGTACTGTGTAGCCCCATCTACTAAAACAAAACCTTTGTAGACCAGTCATTTTTAATAACAAAGGAACAAATGTTTTTTTCAGTTTGTTCATTTTTTTTAGGTTAGACATTTTAAAAGATGTACATTTGAAAATTCAGAACATTTTTCCTGAAGGTCTGTCTCTGTACAATTCAGAAGCACATGCCTTTAGCTCAGAAGGCAGCATGGTGATGGGAAGAGTTCCTCTTAGAAATACAGCAGGTCCGGAACCAAGACTCCAAAGTTCCATTGGAAAAGATATGGTGAAAAAAGGAAAAAGTAGTATCTCAGAGACCTTCTAGTCTATATTATACTTATTTGTTTTTCCAAAAATGTGCACATTGTCAACTGGAATTTAGGTTGTTTTTATATGCATGGCCACTTGAGTCATTGTGTACAGTCATTCTGTGATCTCAGTTAGTGGTTAAAATGACTGTCATGATCATTTCTTTGACTGATAATGTGGCAATGTTACTCATGTGGACCTCGCCTTAAGCACACATTTTGGTTTTATAGTTCCTTATGTGTTTAAAGCATTAGTTATATTTGAATTCCTAGACTAAATGCTGGCCATTGATGTATGTCAAAATTTACCCTAATTATTTGGTCTGGTGACCCTCATTGTTGGGAAAAGTGACTACCATGGTTATAAGTAAGGGTATAATGAAACTTAGTATTTCAAAATATATTTTTTGAGAAGTTCTAAGTTAAACAGCTCTTAAAATGTATTATGTACGTGGTTGTGGAGGGAAGGGAGATGTTTCATTATGAGATCCCAGGCAAATGGCAATATGTTTGAGGATTGTCTCCTACATAAAGCAGTGTAGGTGATTTAACCTCAAAATTGCAAAGCAATAGTTAGATGCAGAGGTTAGAATTTATCATGTAAACAAAAAATCCTTCAGGAAAATGTAAGACATTGTAGTCAGTAAGCAGATGAGGTCATAGGAGGCCATGGCTGGATCACTATTAGATTGCAGAAAAGAAGTCAGGGGCCCTCTGCCAAATTGTGCCTAAAGTCCCTCAGAGACTGTTGATTCTGGTTTCCCCATCTACTTGTGTGATTTTACTTGCATAAAATCACAGTGAAAGAGGGAAGAATCATCTTTAAAAAGTGATTGCATAAGTAGTCCTGGGTTTCAGAAGATTTCAGCTATCATTTACATAGGAATTACTTGATTTTTCTAAGTTACTCTGATCAAAAGGGACCACTGCTTTGACAATCAACTCTAAATACAAACAAGAGGCCAGGCGTGGTGGCTCATGCCTGTCATCCCAGCACTTTGGGAGGCCGAGGCGGGCGGATCATCTGAGATCAGGAGTTCAAGACCAGCCTGACCAACATGGTGAAACCCCGTCTCTACTAAAAATACAAAAATTAGCCAGTCCTGGTGGTGGGCGCCTGTAGTCCCAACTACTCGGGAGGCTGAGGCAGGAGAATCATTTGAACCCGGGAGGCGGAGGTTGCAGTGAGCCGAGATTGCGCCATTGCACTCCAGCCTGGGCAATAGAGCGAGACTCCATATTTAAAAAAAAAAAAAAAAAAAAAAGAGGAAAACTTGGTCTAACACCCTTTTAGTTTTCTTTTCTCTCTTCTTTTCAATCTGATAGGAAGAAACCTTATTCTACTCTAGCTGGTTTATGCATTCAAAGCCTTTGGACATTTCTTTTATGAACCATAGGCAATGAGCCTTCATTCTCCTTGGTGATGTTTTAAGTTCCATAAACTGAGAGGGAAGATGATCTTCTTAAAGTTTGCACTTCCTTCAGTAGGCAAGCTTGAAGCCATGTTGATATGGATATGTTTTCTAAAAGTAACCCTGGAAGTGAATATAATAGGAAGTAAGTGATTTCATATTGAATTTATTTGTAAAATGGCTTAGAGTTTTGGTGTTTGTTTTTTCTGAATTCTGTAATATAGAAACTGGTTCTCTTTCTCCTTGTTTCTCAATGACTTTTAATTACAGGTAGTTCTCAGACAAATGTAAGATACTTTTCTCTGTCCATTTCATGCAAAATTCATATTCAGTATCATTCAACAAATCTTTGAATGACTTCTATGCATCCCTGTTCATGGAACCCATGCCATTAGAAAATGGCAGTTGGGATGTATGAAGAAATGTAGGATATTCTCTCAAATCATTCCCTAAATTATCCTTTACTGCTGCAAATTTAGCTGATAAAACTGCCTTTGGTTTATGCCTCTTGGATCAGATATTTGACCTATGTGGAATAGATTATCTCTGTGCTTCCGGTTTAAGACATTACGCCATTTTAGTGGATCATTTAAATTTTTTCTATTCTGTTTTTTTTTGTTTGTTTGTTTGTTTGTTTTAAACAGAGTCTCACTCCCGAGTAGCTGGGACCACAGGCACGTGCCATCATGCCTGGCCTATTTTTGTATTTTTAGTAGAGATGGGGTTTCACCATGTTGGCCAGGCTTGTCTTGAACTCCTAACTTCAGATGACCTGCCCACATCGGCCTCCCAAAGTGCTGGGATTACAGGCATGAGCCACCGTGCCTGGCCAAATTTCTTCTATTCTTGTAAGTGATGGTAAAACTCTGGAATCAGTCCAGTATTTTAGTTTTTCACAGCAAATTTGATTTTAGTCTACCAAGGAGTTTAACTTTTCTATGTTCCCTAACTCTAAGATTAGGGCTGTATTACCTAGACAGGCCTTAAAAGGTTTTTGTGTTGTTCTCTGTTAATAAGAATTTGTTCCTTTAAACCAGAGGATCAACCTTGGAACTATTAACATTTTGGGATTGATAATTCATTGTTGTTGGGGGCTGTCCTGTGTGCTTAGGATGTTCAGCTGCAGCCCTGGCCTCTACCCACTAGATTCCAGTAGACCCCCTCCTCAGCCATGACAACAAAGATATCTCCAGACATTGCCATCTGTCCCTTGGGTAGGAGGGTGGGAACAAATTCTCCCTTAGTTGTACTTTTTATACCAACATCACTTGTGTCCAGGGTCCATTTATTTTCAGTCTGTAGCCATGTGCCACTTGAATTGTTATATGAGAGAAGGTGATGTATTCAGTAATCATGGATGGAAAGAAATGGTCACTGGTATTTTTTGTAATGCTCATTTTTTTTTTTTTTTGAGACAGAGTCTCGCTCTGTTACCTAGGCTGGAGTGCAGTGGCGCAATCTCAGCTCACTGCAACCTCCGTCTCCCGGGTTCAAGCAATTCTTCTGCCTCCGCCTCCCAAGTAGCTGGGACTACAGGCACGCGCCACCATGCCTGGCTAATTTTTGTATTTTTAGTACAGACGGCGTTTCACCATATTGGCCAGGCTGGTCTCAAACTCCTGACCTCGTGATCCGCCTGCCTCAGCCTCCCAAAGTGCTGGGATTACAGACGTGAGCCACTGCGACTGGCTTAATGCTCATTTTCATAATTTTCATGTAATATTAGAAACTCAGGGCTGGAAGGTTCAACTTCTCTTTTTTGAAGCAGGGTCTCAACTTTTATTTCTAAGCATTCTTGCTTATCTTAGGACAGTGATTATTAACCTACCTCTCTGTTTCTATCAACAGAAGCCAACTTTATGATAGATTTTGCTTTGTCTCTAAAGTTTAATATTTTGAGTGTACTTTAGAAAATAGGTCATCATTCTTTAAGCGTCATTCATTGTCTAATCACATAATTTTGCAGACCATGGCAGTCATTAAATACAGAAAAATACTGTGTAAAATTTGATAATCTTGTAGGAAAGTTAGCTGATGTAGACATCAATTTTGGATGTGATCAGAAGAATGTCTGCTTAAGATAACTGGTCAATAACTTGGTATGGCTACTGGATTCATTCCACATATGGTAGTATAAGGCACTTAAATGTGTTTCCTGATTGGGCACTGTGGCTCATGCCTGTAATCCCAGCACTTTGGGAGGCCGTGGTGGGCAGATCACTTGAGGTCAGGAGTTCGAGGCCAGCCTGGCCAACGTGGTGAAACCCCATGTCTACCAAAAATATAAAAAGATAGCCGGGCGTGGTGGCGCATGCCTGTAATCCCAGCTACTCGGGAGGCTGAGGCAGGAGAATTGCTTGAACCCGGGAGGCAGAGGCTTCAGTGAGCCGAAATAGTGTGACTGTACTCCAGCCTGGGTGACAGAGTAAGTCTCCGTCTCAAAAAGAAAAAAAAAAATGTGGTTCTTTTGTGGAAAGAGGAATTTGAACTTGAATAAACACTTCTTTTGACACCTTTTACCAGTGGTCTGAAGCAGAATAAGGAAGAATAAGAAATGAATCTTGACTGTTGACTTATTCTGAGAATTGGTGATGTGTAAAGAGAGTTGGAATCTTCTACCTGGGTTTTTCTCAGGGCTAAATGGAAAAGCACAGGGCCCAGAAAGGTTGGAGTTAATCATTCACTTAAAAGCATTAGGAGGAAGTGTCAAAGCATCAGTCATGAATAGATTATGTCTCTCTGACTACAGTCAGACCATCAATTCACTAAGACCTTATACTCTGTAAGTGTTGGTAAAGGAAGAAAACTGCTAAATTGCATGTTACCCTTTACTAGAAATTCATTCCTTTGGCACAGATTTTATTTATTTGGGGCTGTTTAATGTGTCTGTAAATCATGAAATATAAAAGCAAGATTCAGTGTAGCAGAGTTGGTGCTTCTTCTGACAAGCTAACTTGACCATATTTCTTTATCTGTGCTCTAACATGTGTCATATTGTTTTCTTTTTGTAAACCATAAAATGGGTGAACTTCCAAAAATCAAGGGTCATGTTTTAAAATCATGGAACTTTTAGAAATACCATATCTGTATCTCTATTCCTGCATTTTATAAATCTGTAAAGGAAGAAAACTGAAAGGAAGAACTAGACTGAGTCTTACCTTTCTCTGACCTAAGATAAACTGATAAAACTTTTTACTTGATATTTGGAGAAGTCATTAACTGGATTCTAGTTAATTTCCCATATTGGGCAGTTTAGAGGAGACCCAGCCAACCAAATTATGATCTAGCAAATTTAACATAGGGGAAGAGGGATAGTAAACTATTTTTCAGTAGATTTGCACTTTAAACTTAGGAACTGGATGTTGGTGGAAAGGACTTCCATAGGGCAGATGGGTAAATATCTAGCCTGCACTTGGATGTTAGAGAATCAAACCTCACCCTTGCTCGTTCTAAACCCACATGAGTAGTTAACTGTCTTTTGACATAATCAGAGTCAGGATTTCCCTTTTTCCCTACTTGAGTCGTCTTCCATGTCTGTTACATCCAAGATCATCCCTCTGGGGGATGTGTCAAGTAGTTCTCCTACTCAGAATAGAAGCTTTGCGAATTATCATTCCCACCTCTAGATTTTAAATGAATGTAGAGTTGTCTAACATTATATGGGTGGGAGGCTCTTTGCCTCTGTGATCAGTAGGGTACCTGCCTCTGAGGTGCTACTGCCTGGAGGGATCACTCCCATCAAAAGACTGGTGAGTTGGAAGCTAAGAGCACATGCGCATAGCCAGCTCCTCTCCCAGGCTGGCAGTCATGATTACGAGCATCATTCCAGAATCTTTGGCTTCTAGAACCAACTCCATTCTGAAGAACATTTTAACATCTATGAATACCTTGGTAATAATCTTTTATACACAGGAGTTTTGTAGCATGACTTTATGACTAAACTTATTGTGAATTAAGTTATTTAGAAATGTTGAGTTTCTGAATGTTATTTTGTGATTTGTTTCAAAATGGTAATAAATTGTGTTATTTTGTAAAAAAAAAAAAAAGTATATTTTTGGTACATGATTATTAGTTTTAGCTAATATAGAGCAATTATATAAACTTCTAGTGATATTCAGTCCAAAGAAATTCAGCCTTTGGATAACATGTACCATGCAGTTTGTGTGGTGTGTGTGTGTGTGTGTGTGTGTGTGCACGTGCATGAGAGAGAGTGAAAGAGAGAGGTGTTTTTTGTTTTGTTTTTTTTGAGACGGAGTCTCACTCTGTTGCCCAGGCTGGAGTGCACTGGCACAATCTCGGCTTACTGCAACCTCCACCTCCCGTGTTCAAGCGAGTCTCCTGCCTCAGCCTCCCGAGTACTGGGACTACAGGCGCACACCACCATGCTTGGCTAATTTTTGTATTTTTAGTAGAGACGAAGTTTCACCATGCTGGCCAGGTTGGTCTCGAACTCTTGACCTCGTGATCTGCCCGCCACAGCCTCCCAAAGAGCTAGGATTACAGGCACGAGCCACCGCGCACGGCCAGAGGCATTCATTTCTTTAGCTAAGTTTTTTTTTCTTAGTAGGTTTTTTTCTCCCAGGCTTGTAACTCTTCCCCAGTTCTTTGGGCACTATTTCAAATTATTAGGCTTCTGGAAAGAGTGCTTCCAGGGACAGCAAGTTACTACTGCACTTGACCATTCCTAGTCCTCACCTGATTACCAGAAGG